>NC_000003.12:156735877-157038907 GCF_000001405.40 Homo sapiens | reverse complement strand
ACTGAACTGATAGGAGGCTAATTACAGTCTTTATTCTATTTCATGTGAACATTCAGATGTTTCACTGCAGAAGTATTAATGTCATTGCATGGGGAGGCTGCCCTACATCTATGAGGACATACTGTACTTACTAACTTTCTAAAATTCAAAATAATTTTATATCTGAGCACAAAGTTTTCAGATAAGGGACTGTGGGCCTGTCTATATTGCATGTACCCTTCTTTAAATACAGTCTTTCTTTAGAGTCCTTGATAGTGTTCTCTTCCGGTTTTCTTCCCACCTCACCAGAAGTTCCTTTTCTGTCACCATCGCTAGATTCTACTCCTCTTCCCAGGCTCTAAAAGTTAAGAGTGCCTGTTCTCAACCCTTGCTCTATTACCTCATCCTCTGGGTGATCTCATTCAGTCCCAAGGGTTAAGTATCAGCTACATGTGGAATTGTCCAAAATCGACATCTCCAGCTTGCCTTCCCTATGGACATATTGCCTAGTCAACATCTCCACTTGGGTATCTAACAGGCATATTAAGATCAACATGTCCCAAATAAAATTCTTGATATTCCTCCCCAATTGTATTTCTTTTCTAGCATTTCCCATCTCAGCACTCTCTCAGTTGCTGAGATTCCAAGCTTTGGAGTTATCCTTGACTCCTTTTTATGCTTTCATATCATCCAATCAATCAGCAACCTCTATTGCCTTCACCCCTAAAATATATCCCAAATCTGGTGATTGGTCACCTCCTTCACAGCCTTGCTCTCTTTTTTGCCCTCTTCAACCTATTTTCTACACAGAAGTCAGTTATCCTCTAAAAATAAGTCAGATCATGTCAATTCCTTGTTCGAAATTCCTAGGTGGCTTTCTATCACACCTAGCAAAGTATCCAAAGACCTTATCATAGCCTACGAAGACTCCATGTGAACTGGCCCTTCAACCTTGGTTTCTATCACTATCCTTGCTCACTAAGCTCCAGCAGTGCTTGCTGACTTCCTTGTGGCTTCTTTAAGGTTCCCAGTATGTTCCTTGCTGCAGAGTCTTTCTATTACCTTTGCCTGGAGTGTTCTTTCCCTGGAATGCTCTTTGCCTCATTATTTCCTCAGAGTCCTCTTACTACCCCATCTAATATAGCACCCCTCCTTCAGAAAGTATCCCTTTTACCCTGATTTATTTTTTCCTTAGCATCTATAAAAACAACAAAACTCTTTACCTGTTAAATGAATGCATAAATAAGCAACTGCAGTAGGCACACAGGTGTATAGCTAATTTTGCCTCTGGGATTTTGTGGATTCATGGAGGGGTTCTCCTTGCACTTAGACTTGGGGAATAAACAGAAGTGTACTAGGCACCTGTTACTAAGTTTAAGCTAGAATCTGCTTTGTCTTAATTTTTTCATTTCTCATAATCTGAAAAGAAAATCTCATTAAGGTTTATATTCTGTTGCTTTTGTTTTACTTGTAACTTTCCTGATTTTTCTTCAATATTCCTTGCTTGACCTTTATTCTTGTCTCTGCCACCTTCTCTACTAGGTCCTTTTTATACTTTATTCCTTTCTATTATTTTTAATTTTTTAAAATTAATGGATTACATATAGCTAAAAAGTAAAATAATACTAAAACTCACAATGAAAAAAGCATTTCTTCACATTTCCAAGTCCTGCCTCCCAGGAATAACCATTTTCAGATCTTTAAACTATTTCTTCTGATAGTTACCCTCAGTACTTCAAAATAACATCATTATACTTCTTTGTTTTTCAGTTTGGAACATATCTATTGACTGCATGGAATGGAAGATGAGGGTTCAGCTTCCTATACCAATTCCCAACAGATGCTGCTCCTCCTCCTATCCTCATATTTCTGTCACAATTTTTAGCTTAATCTATATTCATCTTTATATGATTATAGTATATAAGCATATGCACATCTGGGCCATGTTATGTACTAAGATGACATTTTCTTCCTTGCATAGCTTCCATCCAGAGTTATTGTCTCATAATTTTTCTGCTTCATTTTCTGGGTGTTGATATTAATTTTTCACCAAACTTACAGAAGTGTAAATATCCTCTCAACATGTTCAAACACCCCATGTAAGCTATCAGCTTCTCTTTGTTCTTGGAGACATACTTCTAAGAACCCACCATTCTTCTGCTCAACATTCTAAGAAACTTCCATTCTTTTGGTCTGGTTATTCTTTCAATCTGATGCACTGCTGTAATCCTAGCATTTCTTCCCACCATTATCCTGGGATTCCCTCCATCCCTCTCCTGTGTTGGATTCCTTATTTCCTGATTCCTATATTTTCTCCTTTATTACTTATTCCATCATTGTGCTGTCATATATCTTCTAACAGCTTTCTGAAAAAGGCTGCCAGGGTAGTATCATTTTTGAGAACTCTTAAGTCTGAAAATATCTGCGTTTGATGCTTGACGGATTGTTTTGGCAGGATATAGAATTCTAGGCTGGGCATAATTTTCCTTTGGAATTTGGAAGGCACTGTCTTCTATTTCTTATTCCTTTGAATTTTCTTTTCTTTTCTCCATCTTTTTGCTTTTTTCTTCTACTTTCTAGGAGATTTCACATCTTTATCATCTAACCCAAATATTGATTTTTTTAAAATTTCAGTCCTTATATTTTAATATTCACTCTTGTTCTTTTTTCATAGCTGGCTGTTTATGTTTAATGAATACAATATCATCTCTTTTCTCTCTGAGGATATTAATTATACATTTTTAAGCTCTCTTTTGCTCCCTGTATTGTTTTGTATTTTTTTCTGTGAAGTTCTTTTTTGCTTATTGTTTCTGTTCTTCACATTAGAGATGTTTCTCAAATAATTGGTGATCCTTGGCTGTTCGTGTTTAAAAATGTGTCCCCAAAATGTTACCTTAAGCTCAGTGTGCTTGTATACAGTTTATTGGCTGATATCCTTCTAAGTAGGTAGACTGAACATGGATATAGCCATTTCATTGGAATATCCCAACTGTCAGTATCAATGGGTCTTATCCTATTTATTTATTTATTTTTGAGACAGAGTCTTGCTGTCACCCAGGCTGGAGTGCAGTGGTGTGATCTCCGCTACTGCAACCTCCACCTTCTGGGTTCAAATGATTCTTGTGCCTCAGCCTCCCAAGTAGCTGGGATTACAGATGTGCAGCACCACGACAGGCTAATTTTTGTATTTTCAGTAGAGACGGAGTTTTACCATGTTGGCCAGGCTGGTCCCAAACCCCTGGCCTCATGTGATCTGCCTGCCTTGGCCTCCCAAAGTGCTGAGATTACAGGTGTGAGCCACTCTGCCAGGCTGGTGTTATCTTTTGAGGCAGCTCATTTCTCCAGAAGGGGCTCTTCCAATTTCTTTTTTTATGGCTATTAATACATAAGCCTGGTTACTTGTGTTCTGAAACATGAGAGTGTGAAGGGTACTGGGAAGTCTCCATACTTAATATACTCTTGCTTTATCTCTTCTGTCCTCAGGTTCAGTGCCTTTTCTCATTCAGTTTTGCTAGAGAGTAAACCCCTGGTATTCTGCCAGGATGGTGGGCAGGGGCTTCTTGGGAACTGGGAGGACATCTCTGATGATCTGTTTGGTCCTTTTATAATCTTTCAAACAGCCTTGTTTTCAATTCCACCCTTACATCCCTCTTTCAGAGGCATAGGCATACAGAGATATTGTGGGTTTGGTTCTAGACCAAAATAAAGCAAATATTGCAATAAAGAAAGTCACATGAATTTTTTGGTTTCCCATTGCATATAAAAATTATGTTTACAACATACTGTAGTTAAGTGTGCAATAGCATTAAGTCTAAAAAATGTACATACCTTAATTTAAAGATATTTTACTGCTAAAAAATGCTATCAATCATCTGAGCCTTCAGCAAGTTGTATCTTCTGCTGGTGGAGGGTCTTGCTTCAATGTTGATGGCTGTTGACTGATCAAGGTGGAAGTTGCTGAAGGTTGGGATGGCAGTAGCAATTTCTTAAAAGAAGACAACAGCACAGAAATCACTTGAACCTGGGAGGCAGAAGTTGCAGTGAGCTGAGATTGCGCCACTGCACTCCAGCCTGGGCAACAGAGTGAAACTCTGTCTCAAAAAGAAAATAAAAATTAAAAAAAAAGACAACAATGATGTTTGCCACATCAAGGGACTCTTCCATTTATGAAAGATTTCTCTGTAGCATGTGATGCTGTTTGACAGCATTTTACCCGCAGTAGAACTTCTGCCAAAATTGGAGTCAATCCTCTCAAACCCTGTCACTGCTTTATCAACTAATTTTATATAATATTCCAAATCCTTTGTTGTAATTTCAATATTTTTTGCAGCATCTTCACAGGAGTAGATTCCATTTCAACAAATGGCTTTCTTTGCTCATCTATAAGAAGTAACTTTTTATATGTTCAAGTTTGCAGCAGTTCAGCCACATCTTCAGACTCCACTTTTAATTCTAGTTCTCTTGCTATTTCTGCCACTTCCTCCACTGAAGTTTTAAACCTTCAAAGTCATCCATGAGAGCTGGAATCAACTTCTTCCAAACTTTTGTAATTATTGATATTTTATCCTCTACCCATGAATTAGGAATGTTCTGAATGGCATCTAGAATGGTGAGTCCTTCCCAGAAGGTTTTGAATTTACTTAGCCCAGATCCATCAGAGGAATCAATAACTATGACAGCTATCATCTTATGAAATATATTTCTTAAATAATAAGACTTGAAAGTCAAAACTGTTCCTTGATTCATGCGCTGCAGAATGGATGTTGTGCTTGCAGGCATGAAAACATTAATCCCCTTGTACATCTCCATCAGAGCTCTTGGGTGACCAGATGCATTGTCAATGAGAAGCAATATTTTGAAAGGGATTTTTTTTTTTTTCTGAACAGTAGGTATCAACAGGCTTAAAATATTCAGTAAGCCATGCTGCAAAAAGATGTGCTGTCATTCAGGCTTTGTTGTCCCACTTATAAAGCACAGAGTAGAGTAGATTTAGCATAATTCTTAAGGGTGTTAGGATTTTTGGGATGGTAAATGAGCATTGGCTTCAACTTAAAGTCACTAGCTGCATTATCTCCTAATGAGAGAATTAGACTGTCCTTTGAAGGCTAATTCTTGAAGTTTGGCTTCAAAGCTTCTGTACTACAGCTATGAAAGTCCTAGATGGTACCTTCTTCCAATAGAAGGTTGTTCCATGTACAATGAAAACCTGTTGTTTAATGTAGCTACCTCATAAATGATCTTAGCTAGATCTGGATAACTTACCACAGCTTCGACATGAGCACTTGCTATCTTACCTTATACCTTTATGTTCTGGAAATGGCTTCTTGTCTTGAACCTCATAAACCTACCACTGCTAGCTTCCAATTTTTCTTCTGCAGCTTCCTCATCTCTTTCAGTCTTCATACAATTGGAGAGAGTTAGGGTCTTGCTCTGGATTAGGCTTTGGCTTAAGGGAATATTATGACTGGTTTGATCTTCTACCTAGACCACTCAAACTTTCTCCATATCAGCAAGAAGGCTGTTTTATTTTCTTATCATTCATGTATTCACTGAGGTAGCACTTTTATTGCCTTCAAGAACTTTTCCTTTGCATTCACAACTTGGCTAACTGGAACAAGAGGCTTAGCTTCTGGCTTATCTCAACTTTTGATTTGCTTTCCTTGCTAAGCTTAATCATTTCTGCCTTTTGACTTAAAGTGAGAGATGTGTAATTCTTCCTTTCACTTGAATGCTTAGGAGCCATTGTAGCGTTGTTAATTGGCCTAATTTCAATATTGTTTTTGCCTCAGCAAATAGGGAGTCCTGAGCAGAAGAGAGATGGAGGACTGGCCAGTCAGTGGATTAGTCCGAACACACACAACATTTATCTATTAAGTTTGCTGTCTTATATAGGCACCATTCTTGGCACCCACAAACAAGTGTAATAGTAACATCAAAGATCACTGGTTTTGTGGCCATAACAGATATAATAATAATGAAAGAGTTTAAAATATTGCAAGAATTACCAAACTGTGACACAAAGACATAAAGTGAGCACATGCAGTTGAAAAAATGACACTGAGAGACTTTCTCGACATAGGGGTTGCCACAAACCTTCAATTTGTGGGGAAAAAAAAACCACAGTATCTGTGGAGCACAATAAAGTGACATGCAATAAAACAAGTTATGCCTGCATCTAGTTTCTCCAATTCCTGAGCCTCTCCAGTGTTGTGTCACATAACTAGATTTTCTCCATTTTGAATCCTCCCATCCCCAATCCTCACGGGCATTAGGTTTCAGTATTCTATATGATAAGTTATTTATCTCTTAGACACTTGCTTTCCATTTTTGTAAGCTTTGGCCAATATCTTTTTTATCAAGTGCTAACTCCTCTCCTGTTCTCTTTGTCCTAATGGATTTATTCACTTTTTATTAATTGACTGCCATTTTAGTGGCAATGGAATGAAGTAGAGATAAACATATGTATTCAATTCTCCATGTTTAACCAAGAGCATTATTTTCTATTTTTGAGTATCACTCATCTTCATTGTATGACTACAAGAACTATAGCATTTAAAACTACTGCTCTTTTGGCTCCCTTATGTGTGGTCTTCAAACAACAAAAATATTGAACTATCTGTACTGATTGTCCTTCGGTGATTGTATGTGAGCTGTTTATTTGATTTACCACATTCTTCCTCTGGATCACAACAAGGTCCGTAATAGGGGGTCACACTGTCTTGACTGTACTCACATGGAACCAGTAGGAAGGAAAATGGGCATCAAGAAGCACATGACCCATTTTGACTTGGTTTTATTGATAAGTGTTATTCTCTAACATATTAACTTTCTCTCTCTCTCTCTCTCTCACTCTCTCTCCCTCCCTCCCTCCTTTCCAATCTTTTAATGTATCTTCTCAGGGACTCCTTGTTCACATTTACATTTCTAGCACAGTTTTATTTTCCATTTTCTCTTTTTATTGACCTGCACCCTTTGTTGCTCTGCTTTGCGACCCTTGCTGTTTCTGGGGATGCCCTCCAATAATCCCTGCTCCACTTAGGAAGGCCCATTTTGCCCTTTAGAGGCTTTGGCTTTCCTCTTATCCTTGAGAACTTTCTTCATACAATTAAAAACAAAGTCTACCCATTATTTGGCCTCTTGAAAGAGAACAGGGCTTTCCTCCTCTTAATTAGCCTCCTTATTAGACCATTAATTTATTTTCATTCGAATGGGAATTTGTTTTCCACTTAAATGCAGCTTTATTTCTCCAGAATCTGAGAAATTTCAAGTGTCTGGAATGCATTTTCAAAAAAAGTGGTGCTTTTCACTTTACATGCTATGGCCTCTATTCTTTTTGGCTCATAAATCCTATCCCTTTTATTGGCTCATTTCCTATTTTTATAAGCATATTTTGGACTCTGGCATGCTTAGCCAGAGAAGCAGCCTTAATTATTTACTCTTACAGTTCAGTTCGAATTAGTTAACTTTGAGGTGATATTTTGGTAACTTCTAAAGGAAACTCTAGTCTACCCTCCCCGCTCCCACAAAAGGAAATTGCCCCCCTAAGTATACCCTTAATTGGTTTTCTTTACCTTTGGGATGATCCTTTTCTCCTCTCTAGCAATGATCTGTGATCATTTATATACCAACCCAATGTCTTATGTCTTTCAGTCCACATTTTTTTAAAAAAGCTTTATTCCTAAGTGGCTTCTTTTAAAAACTAATGAGCAGGAAGAGTTCCAACTGCAGCTCCTTTTGTCGATGAAGAAATCCACTCTTCACTTTTAGTCTATTTTCTCTTGCCAAAATCACCTCCCGAAGCCCTGTGATTGGAAGCCTTTAAAACGCCCCCTTAATGATCCTTACTCTCCTGATATTCATATCTTTGTGCAATGATTTCACCTCGAGTGTGGGTTGGACTTACTGATTCATTTGTAATAAATGGAATACAGCAGAAGCACTGGTATGTCTCTTCCGAGATTAGGTTGCAAAAAGACTGTGGCTTCTGTCTTGGCACCTTCTCTCTCTCATTCTCACTCGCTTGCCCTGAGGGAAGTCAGCTGACACACTGAGCTGTTCTATGGAGAGGTCCATGTGGCAAGGAACTGAGGGAAGCCTCTGGCCAAATACATTCTGCCAAAAACCATATAAGTAAGCCTGAAAGCCAATCCCATCCTAGTTGAGCCTCTAGATGAGACTGCAGCCCAGTGGATACCCTGACACCAACCTCATGAGAGAACTTGAGCCTCTAAACCAGAGACACTCAGCTAAGCCATGCTCAGATTCCTGACCCACAGAAGCTATGAGATAATAAATGTTTGTTGTTTGAAGCTGCTAAACTTGGGGGTAATTTGTCACGTAGCAATAGATAACTTATACAGGCTCTTCATGCAAATGTTCGAGCTTTCAGTCTATGCTTTTTTTATGATAAATTCTGTTTAGATCATTCTTTCCTTTGGATATTAATTTAATTACTCATGCAAAGTTTTCTTTAAATTCTTCTTTGAGAGCAGGAAGTGGCAGTTGTCAGTCTTATTCATAATTACATCACCAGTACCTATCTAACACGTGCCTGGCACCCAGATAGATGCTGTTATGGGGTATGGAAGTTTGTCAACTCCAAATCTCATGTTGAAATGTAATCCTCAATGTTGGAGGTGGGGCCTAGTGGGAGGTGTTTGAATCATGGCAGCAGATCCTTCATGAATTGCTTAGCACCATCCCCTTGGTGATGAATGAGTTCTTGCTGTGTTAGTTCATGCGAGATTTGGTTGTTTAAAATAATGTGGCACCTCCCCCCACCTCTCTCTCACCATGTGATGCACTGGCTTCTCCTTCACCTTCCGCCATGATTGTAAGCTTCCTAAGGTCCTCGCCAGAACTATGCTTCCTGTTCAGCCTGCAGAACCATGAGCCAACTAAACCTCTTTTCTTTATAAATTATCCAGTCTCACATATTCCTTTAGACTAAGGCAAGAACAGAGTAACACAGATGCTAATATACATTTACTGAATTTGGCCCTTCCGTCTTTTTCTGTTTGTCCTAGTTTATAAGTTACTCCTCATTTTCTATATTGCCATTTCTTTTGTGAATGAATAGTTAGAAAACCTGCTAGTCTAGTTGCCTCAATCTTTCTGTCCTTTATCCTGCTTCCCTCCTCTAGAGATTCACTACTGCTGTCTCATTTGAGGCAAATCAGCATCACTTCTCTCTTTCTCAGGGTTTCTCTAGCAGAGCTAAGTCCACGTGTGCTCTCCCTCCTTACTCCTGCCTGAACTAGGGGTGCGGCTTCCTTCATTGGGGGGACTGAGCTGCTGTGTAACAACAAGAGAACTTAATCATCTTTTTGTCTTAATTATAATACTAAAAGAAAATTGAGTCCCTGGAGATTATAACTGCTAAGTCTGTGGTCACTGTGAAATACAGAAGCAGAATAATAAGAACTGGGTTTCCCAAAAGAGGAAACATCATATCATAGAGATTCGAATTTGAATCTTGGCTCCACCAAACTGTCTGACCTTATGGAAATTATTCAACCTTCTTCAGTCTCTTCCTCATTTGTAACATGTAAATAATTTCTACTTATAGAGTTGTTTTAGGCATTATTCTTGATCTAGTATTCTATCTACTCCATATTTTATCTTATATTTATAACTTCTTTGTAATAGGTTCACTTCATAATTACATAATTACAATGATTATGTAAACTTTCTATTTTGGCTGATAATTTAAATATAGCAAGACCATGGCATATTTAATTGTTAATAATCGATATTGCTGTTAGCACTTTCCTTTTATGCCTTTACTGATGCCAAACCAACAAAGATATTACTTCTCACCAACATTCAGAATCTTCCTCCATTTACCTTTATTTGCTATACTGTCATCAAAGGGATCAAATATTGTAATGTGATATGATATTGATGATTAGAGAACAGATGAATTGTTTCAGTATTTCTAAACTGCTCAGTAGTTCAGACATAAGACTTTCAAAAATGTTTTCAAATCAAAATAGGTCTACTCCAGTTTGAATGAAAACCATCACTGAAATAATCATACATACATAAGAAAGAAAACCGACGCATGCATATTACCTTATAAGTTTACATTGATAGGAAGTAAAAACCTAAGGTAAAATTGTGTTTAAAAGACATAGTCTAATTTTTTTAAATGTATGCAGAAAGTTCTCTAAAAGTTTATTTGGCAACAATTTAACGTTAAAACAAATAAGACATAAACATATAAAGATTCCTACTCTTAGAGGCTTAAAATAGTTATTTGCAAGAAAGAACTAGGTGCTAAGGAAACTTTTAGAGATTATGTAGTTCACAGGAAAGCCAGGTCTGGAGAGGCTAAGTGACTGCCTAAAGTTAAGGACAGAGCACCAGGATGTGATTAAGGACAGAGCACCAGGATGTGATTTAGGTCAGACTAACATTCCAGGACTCTTTCCATGAAACTAAGCTGCCTTTCACGTTTTTGTTTGTTTGTTGAAAGAACATGTGCTCTTTGATTAATTGCAAAGTTACCACTATCTGCTTCCTACCTCTTCCTGGGACTGGTTAAATTGCTCTATCAGTTGTGTTTGAGCCAGCATTACTCTTTTCAGTTCATCCGACTTCTGTTCCATTTCCTTCCTCAAGTTTTCTGAAACTGAATCATTACTGTCAATTTCCTTCTTCAAGCGAGATTCAAATTCTGCAACCAAATTTTTAAGATTTTCAATTTCTTTTTCCTTTGAATTAGATTCTTCAGTGTACCGAATATGGGATTTGTGAAGTTTTTCTTTAAGAGTGGTCACTTCCTGCCTTAGATCTCTTGTAGCGCCTGTGATTAAGTCAGATATCTGTAAGATAAATCTCATATTAGCTTGTAGGCGATAGTTTCTAGGTAACCACAGAATTCTTATGGTTTTTAAGAGGTTTATTTTCATTAATCAGTGTACTCACTTGATCAGATGAAACCAAACCCATGATGTGCAGGCCTTCAAGATTTTCTTTTTAAAAGACTAAAACATTTATTTTTCTACTTAAAACAGTATCACATTAATCACTTGGGCACTTTTGGAAATATATAAATTTCTGTGACTATATTAAGCTACAAAGGATAGCACAAGTCTTTTTTTTTGAGACAGGGTCTTGCTCTGTTGCCAAGGCTGGAGCACAGTGGTGCAGTGGTGTAATCATGGCTCTCAGCAGCCTTGACCTCCTGCGCTCAAACGATCCTACCAATTCAGCCTCTCCAGTAGCTGGATCACAGACTCATGCCACCACCCCTGGCTAATTTTTTATTTTTTGTAGAGATGGTGTCTCTCTGTGTTACCATGGCTGGTCTTAAACTCCTGGGCTCAAGCAATCCTCCTGCCTCAGCCTCCCAAAGTGCTGGGATTACAGCTGTGAGCCACTGTGCCCAGCCTCAGCTCAAGTCTTGACAAGTAGATCAGGGGACTGTCTGGACCTAACTAGGTTGGCTTTGGGATCTCAAAATGCCTGATTTTGGGGGAATGCAAGGAGGAGAGCACTAGAGTTATACTTTACCCTAACTGTACCAATAAATTTTTCTTTAACATAATTTTTTTTTCTTTTTTGTATATAATGGCTGGAGGAACTCCAGATACTATGCCTTCCAGAACAGTACTGCCCAACAGAGCTTTCTGTGGTGTTAGAGATATTCTATGCTATCCAATATGGTAGTCACTAGCCACATGTGACTACTGACGGTGCTGGTAAATGTTTAACAACTGACTCTCAAATTTAAAAAAAAAAAAGCAAGATTTGTATGTAATTTCCATGGTGTAAATACTCTAACCATAGCTCTCAAAAAAGAGTATTGACTATTGAGCACCTGAAATATGACTAATGTGACCAAGGAACTGAATTTAAATTGTATTTAATTTTAATTAATTTAATGGAAACTTTTGCAGCCACATGTGGCTATCATGACGGACAGCACAGTTGTAGAAAACACTTGAATATTCTGAAAATGTATTGCTTCTCAAGGTGGTTCCTCTAGATAAATGAATGAGAGAATAACTTGGAGAAGCTTTTCCTGATGGCATGAAAGTCTTTAGAAGGGAAAAGTCCTCTTGTTTTCTTTCTCCTTAAGAAACAAAACAACGAAACAAGAGCTGCTTCTAATGAAACATATCTTTATTACTTATGCTCAATTATTGTCATGTTATAAATATTAGCACAACAAGAAACTAGCCCACTAAGAATCTGGAAAACATTCACAGACCAAGGTTCCAAGGACTTTGTGAACTGTTACATAAAAAGAGTTATGTATCCAAAATTTGTTTCAAATGTTAAATTTACAGAAAGAATAACTTGTGTGAGAAGTCTCTTCACCATAGTTCATAATTTTATAAATTAATATTCTATTATCTTCAATTAATCCAAGAGGGAAGAAGGCCACTGTCAGGTCTGCACAGTGGTTTTCATCACCCAGAGGAGAGCTGACACTGAAAGTATCTTTGGGAGAGGAGGTTCACATAACCACAAATATGTTTTTATTTTTTAAAAGGCAGTCAACATTTAAAGATCAGGAGGTTTCACTTACAAAATCTTGATTTAAAAATCAGGATTTATGACTTCTCTTAAGAAACTGTAACATTTGGCAAGTTCCAGCTTGCCTGTCTGCATTCTCCTGCTGATGGGATCCTGAACCACCCAGGGCTGCAACAGCAGTCACAGAGTGAGAGGAAGAAGAAAGGGGGAGACTCGGTGGAGCCTGGGGCATCAGGAGCCAGGAAGCAAGAGGTGAGAACCCTCTAGGGGAGGCAGAACCTTGGGGGAGCCAAGGCTCTAAGCTTGTGGCACATGCTCCATTGCCACAGTAGGATTTCACTTACAAAACAGAAGTTCAAAGATAAAATCACTAAGATTTTTTTTTTTCTTTTAGAGAAGGAGTCTCACTTTGTTGCCCAGTCTGGAGTGCAATGGTATGATCATAGCTCACAGAAGCTTTGAACTCCTGGGTTCAAGTGAACCTCTTGTATCAGCCTCCCAAGTAGCCAGGGTATACACTGGTATGAACATACTACAGGTATGAACCGTCACACTAGGCTAATTAAGTCTTTTTTTTTTTTAATAGAGACAGTCTTGCTATGTTGTCCAGGCTGGTATTGAATTCCTGGCCTCAAGTGATCCTCTTGCTTGGGCCTCTCAAAGTGCTAGGATTATAGGCATGAGCCACCATGCCCAGTTAGATTATTAAGAATTTCAAGGTAGTATCTGCAAAGCAATAAATCCAAAGCATGAAGCCTTTCTGAGTGTGGGACCATGTGCTATTGCACTGGTTGTACACATGTAGCTGGTGCTGCCTGTTGTTCACAATGGACTACTGAAATGGATGTACCATACCTCCTGTACACAAATGTAGAAGCCATTAGGTCTTGTCTGATGCTTAATTAACACAGACTCTTAATGCATGTATTCAAAATGTTATTTCCCCACTAGGTCTTGATTAATACACATACACACACACACACACATACACACTCTACACTCAAGTCCTATAAAAACAGGAAAACCTTAACAAAACCTTTAGTATTTAGAACATACTGTTTAAGAAATTTAGGGAGGTGTAATTACATTTTAAAAATATTTCTCTTCATTCAGAAATGTTGAGAATGAAAAATATTTGCAATTAAAGGGTATATGCTTTAGTGGTTGGGAAAATTTTAATTATATAAAACACCTCATTATCTTTCAATGTTGGATATTTGAGGTGTTGAAATATCTAGCCGTACTAATTTTTAGTCATATAATTTATGATGTTTAAAAAATAAGTTTATTCCAGTAGAAAAAATCCATACATAGCTGGATTACATGCTTGTATAACTTATCTCAGTTATCCATTCTGGAGAATTAGCCAAACCGTCTTACCTGCATAGCTAAAACCAAGACACAGTGACCATGAGTGAAAGCTACTGGAATTATAAATACTGTAGTGTTCTAAGGCGAAATATACAACATCTGCAGTTTCAAATCTATTAAATAATGATGAACATCATAATTACAGACCTTCATTTGTAGTTCCTCTTGTTCTTTCTTATACTTTTGGATTACATCTTGGTGTTTTTCTTTTTCAATATCAAGTTGCAATTTTGTTTCTTCCTTAAAGAGAAGAGCTTGCTCTTCAAATTCAACCAAGTGTTGGGCCCTTTCCTTGGCAAGTTCTGCTTCAATCTAGAAATGGCATTTAAAGCACATGTAAAACTATTTTTACCTTAAAATAAGTACATTAAGCTTATTTTCAAACTCTAAGTTTTAAAATGTTCTGACATTAAATTTTTAATTAAACTATTTTAAAAATTCTAGTGTTCAAAAAAAAGTGTGACTTAGAACTTGGGCCAGAAAAATTGACCTTGTGCCAAATATTCCACCACCTTCTAAGACCTGAAAAATTAGTAGAGGAGTTACAACTATATGACAGTTTTCAGAAATACTAAAAGCTTAATTACTTGCTCATTTATACTGTGAACTCAGTCCTTGCCAGCAACTCAGAAAATTGAAGTTTTTGTTTTTAAGCAGATTTTGAGGGCCTTAGACTAAGTTCTGCTTAAAACTCAGAGGGAACACAAAGGACAAATGTTGATTTTTCAAGTGGCCCTTTCTTGATGGAGGTCATAGAAGTTTTGAAGTCACAGATTGTCATTTTAATGTGACTAAAGTGGGAAGGATGATTAAAGGAAAAGAGTCAGTAATGTCCGTACAGATGGTCCCCAACTTGCAATGGTTCGACTTATGATTTTTCGATTTTATAATGGAGAGAAAGCAATATGCGTTTTCAGTAGAGACTATACTTCAACTTTTGAATTCTGATCTTTTCCTGGGCCGTTGATATGAAGTATGATACTCTCTTGGGATGTTAGGCAGTGTCAGTGGGCCACAGCTCCCAGTCATCCATGTGATCATGAGGGCAAACAGCTGATACTGTACAGTGTATGTACTGTGTTGCCAGTATTTTTTAGATATTGTGTTTTCACATTCCATCATGTCTACAGATTACCCATTTTTGACTTACAATACCTTCAATTTATGATGGGTTTATCAGGATGTAACCCCACTGAAAGGTGAAGAGCATCTGTATCCATACTTTGACTCAGATAGAATCATAATGCTAGAAGGGACCTTAGAAATCTCCTAATTCAATCTCTCATGTTTCCATGAATTGTGGAAAGAATAAGCAAGAACTCTAGATGCAGATGAAGTTGAGTTTAAATCCTGGCTCTTAATCCTGGCTCTGCTACTTCCTAACTGAGTGATCTTAAGTTTGTGACTGTAACCCTTCCTGGTAGGGTTATAACGAGTTCCCTTAGGGGCTGTTATGAGGATTAAAGGAGGCAAAGCTTCTGTGTAAAGCTCTAACATGAGTAGGAATTTAACAGTCAGTGGAGAGTACTTCCACACTCTGACCCTTCAGTCTCTACTACTGACTCCATACTAAATGACTGACTGCTGGGTGCCTCACACCTCCAGAAACCATAACTCACTCCTTCCCCAGAAGGCATTTCCATTTTCAGACAGCACTAAGCATTAGGCAGTTTTTCCTGTAGTTGAGCCAACATCTCTCTCCATGTGGTTTTTAACCATTGGTTTTGGCTCTGCCTACTGAAACAAGAAAGAGAAGAAATCTATTAGAACTGGAGTCATTTACTCCTGGGAGTTCATCTAGAGAGACTGGAAAAGGAAATCCCAGTGACAGTCTGGCTCTAGATTTATACTGTGCCAGGATTATAAACTCTAAGAGAGGGTAAAGCCAGGTAAATTGGGAGAAAAACTCACAACTGATGGTGACTGTGTGATTTAGGCCACCAAGACAGGGAAAGAGGTCAACCTAAATTTCTCAAGAGAACAATGAAGCCAGGGTACAAGGACACAAATATTGCTAAGAAAGTTAAAGGAAGCCCTTTACATTAAATAAAATACTGATGGAAGACTAGCCCCAGTGTGGGGTCAATTGGTTTTATTGTACTGGGTATAGGACTAAGCATCTGCCTTAAGGGAATGTAATTATGTTTATACAGTACTGAATGCAAAGAGTTATTTTGGCTCTTTCAAAATAAACTTCTGGATTGTTTGGGATAATAGGCTACTGATGATTTATTAGCAACATTACAGAATTACAGAATTATTCAGATGGGCTGCTCTCAGACTGCTGAAGACAAAGGAAGTCTCAGGGGGCACTCAGAAAAAAAGAAGATATTCCTCTGAATTTCAGGTACTTAAATCCACTTTGCCTCCTGGTAGCCATTTAGATAATTCACAGGTGCCTCCAATGAATTGTATGGCCCAGAAATCTTGTAACAACACTCTTCCCAAAGCCTGTTTCTCCCTCTTATTTCAGGACACAGCTCTACCATCCATCTAGTTACTCAAGTTAGTGACTGGAACATCATCTTTCATACCTCTCTCCTTTACCCTCCCCACCCAATCCAACACAAAATCCTATTCATTTTACCTTCAAAAGATGCTTTGCATCCATTTCTCTATGTCTCAACTTTCATCAGCACTTCCTGATCACCTAGTTCTGGCCACCATCACTTCCTGAACAGCCTCCTTACTTTCACTCCTGCTTCACTCCAACCCATGCTACTACACACAGCACAGTATTCTTTACAAACTATAAATTAGATTTTTTTATTCCTTCTTCGTGGTTTCTCAGTGCATTAATATATCAAAACTCCTGTATATGGCCTTTTACGGGGCGACTACTAGCCCATATGACACCTTTGTGTAAACTGACAAAGCACCCCATCCTTAGATGAAAACAGTCTCATGCCAGTCATAGGACTTGATGAGCAGAGTACAGGCTAGATTCCATCTCGCTTTGCTGCCTTGGCCTGTTGCAGGGTGCAACTTAAACACTGTGTATGGTGGCAGTCCTGGATTCCTCCAGTCTGACTTCCACTACTTTTCTCATTTGATCACTGTGCTTTGGCCACTCTGGCATAGATAAGTCAAGAATATATGAAAGGAGAAACCAAATGTAATACATTTGGAAAAATTGGAAGGTATAATATTAATATAAAAGTTAATAATCAATAACATTCCATTATTAATTAATTATTAATAATTAATAGTCACATAGTTCTTAAATATTAATAGTAATCAATAAGTGAATAATATAAGCATTAATAGTTCATAAGATGCTCTGGCACTATTAATAAAAGAGCAACAAACTATTTTGAGAAGCTCAAGAAAAATGTGTATTGAGGTGCTAAGGTATCAAGTATTTTTTAAAATCTTCTGTGGTTAATTAGTAGAGCCCAATAGCTATTTTAGGACAAAACGACATCTTTCCAAATACGGATTGATTGCTCAAATTAAGACAGTGAGAATATATGCAAACTTGGTGGAACAAGACAAAAATTAGATGACAGAAGGACTTTAGAAGAACCTTCAAAAAAAGTTTTCAAAAATTATTATGGAGATTAGGTCAATTAGAAAATCAGCAGAGCTGAAACTGGATCCCTTCCTTACACCTTATACAAAAATTAATTCAAGATGGATTAAAGACTTAAATGTTAGACCTAAAACCATAAAAACCCTAGAAGAAAACCTAGGCATTACCATTCAGGACATAGGCATGGGCAAGGACTTCATGTCTAAAACACCAAAAGCAATGGCAACAAAAGACAAAATTGACAAATGGGATCTAATTAAACTAAAGAGCTTCTGCACAGCAAAAGAAACTACCATCAGAGTGAACAGGCAACCTATAAAATGGGAGAAAATTTTCACAACCTACTCATCTGACAAAGGGCTAATATCCAGAATCTACAATGAACTCCAACAAATTTACAAGAAAAAAACAAACAACCCCATCAAAAAGTGGGTGAAGGATATGAACAGACACTTCTCAAAAGAAGACATTTATGCAGCCAAAAGACACATGAAAAAATGCTCATCATCACTGGCCATCAGAGAAATGCAAATCAAAACCACAATGAGATACCATCTCCCACCAGTTAGAATGGCAATCATTAAAAAGTCAGGAAACAACAGGTGCTGGAGAGGATGTGGAGAAATAGGAACCCTTTTACACTGTTGGTGGGACTGTAAACTAGTTCAACCATTGTGGAAGTCAGTGTGGCGATTCCTCAGGGATCTAGAACTAGAAATACCATTTGACCCAGCAATCCCATTACTGGGTATATACCCAAAGGACCATAAATCATGCTGCTATAAAGACACATGCACACGTATGTTTACTGCGGCATTATTCACAATAGCAAAGACATGGAACCAACCCAAATGTCCAACAATGATAGACTGGATTAAGAAAATGTGGCACATATACACCATGGAATACTATGCAGCCATAAAAAATGATGAGTTCATGTCCTTTGTAGGTACATGGATGAAATTGGAAATCATCATTCTCAGTAAACTATCGCAAGGACAAAAAACCAAACACCGCGTGTTCTCACTCATAGATGGCAATTGAACAACGAGAACACATGGACACAGGAAGGGGAACATCACACTCTGGGGACTGATGTAGGGTGGGGGGAGGGGGGAGGGATAGCATTAGGAGATATACCCAATGCTAAATGACGAGTTAATGGGTGCAGCACACCAGCATGGCACATGTATACATATGTAACTAACCTGCACATTGTGCACATGTACCCTAAAACTTAAAGTATAATAATAATAATAATAATAATAATAATAATAATAATAAAAGAAAATCAGCAGGGTCCCTTTGATGAAGTTGAAATAAAATATTCAGGGAAGAAAAGGTGATGGCTGATGGCTTGAATGAGCTGAATGTTCTGTTTTACTCGAGTTAGAAAGCAAGATCTTGTTGCCCCTGAACTATTCTTTGAACTACTGTAGGTAAAGAGAGAAAACAAGGAAGGAATAAATATATGGACAGTGGGAAAGAACAAGCACTGTAGACAAAAGGGAGAAGAATGATTGACTATTACTAGCTTTGTTTTTAATTTGCACAATCTGAGAAAAAGAAGCAGAGTGATGAGTTTTCACATGGGATTTCAAACACTTAGGAAAGCTGCAGTGGGATGCTAAGAGCCATCTGAATGTGTTGACGTGTTAGCACAGAGAAATGAGATTACTGGTTCCTTCATGATCTGATTAGTTTGAACAAAATTATGAGCCCATAAACACAACGATTTGCTTAAGGGGTACATTATTTGCCTTTCAGTAGGTGCATTCATGCCAAATTGCCATGTTTTTATTTTTAAATGTTGATAGGAGCTGATAATTTAAAATATTTTAGATGACAGGAGTTATGTTTGAGCAAAATAAATAAATTTGTTGATGGTGTACATATAAAGCATGAACCACTTTATACAATAACTAATAGTAATTTTGATAAGAAGAAAATTATGATTTCTAAAAAAGCATGAATAATATTAACTTAAGAATTACACAAAGTAAAATCAATTATTATCTTTGTACACATCCCAGGTTTTAATTATTTTTGGTTTTTATTTATCTATATCCTCTTCTAGCTGAAACTCCATCTCCTTGGTGAAGGCCACCGGATGACTCCAGAGCATTCAGAGCATTGTTTTTAAATTTCTTTTGTATTTGTTGTTGAAATGCATAATTAGTACTTTATAAAATCTGTATTTAATACCAATATGCAAAATACTGCCTTTTCACTATTTTCCAAGCGAGGTCTTTGTGGTTGACTTTGTTATTATCATTTTTCTTATTGAACATGGAGCCAAACACCATGTTATAATATGACCATTTATTACTCAATGATACCTTTAAAACCAATGGGAATTTTAGATGCCAAAGTAGGAATCAAATAATTTGCTTATATTTGATATGCATATATAATTTTTAAAGATATGGCTCCTAAAATAAATTATTGTACTATTTTACAAAACTTAAAAATGAATACTGATTGCAAATTATTACAGTACTTTAGATTATTTCTGAAATAGCTACTGAATAAATAATAAAAGCAGATGATTATTCAAAACAGAATTTGCAGTTAAAAAATGAATGCTAAGGAATCAGAATATGTAGGCTGCAGGTCAAATCCTGTCAAGAACTATGTGAACTTAGGTTGGAAGGAGAGAATGTTCACTGAGTAAATGAATACAAGCTAGGGTGGTATGGTATAGGACACTTTCTATATATTAACTCTTTTAATTCTTACAACTCTAAGAATAACATAGAATAATAGAAGTATTACTCCCACTGTCTCGATTAAGAGATAGGCTCAGAGAAGTAAGTAACTTCACCAAGATCATAGAGCAACTACAAGGTGGAAACAATGTGTATACTCAGGTGTTGCCGGTGAACTCTATAGCTCAGTGTGTTTAGTTTTTTTTTCATGTAAGCTGTCCCCCCAACCCCTACATCTGTACAGCATAGTGGGCTCAGGGCGTGGTCTTGGTATTTATTTAGTTTCAAAATATTTAAGGATTGTCCAGATAACTTTCTGCTAACGATTTCTAATTTTATTTCATTGTGGTCAGAGAAAATATTTGTATGATGTGAATCCTTTTAAACTTATTGAGACTTATTTATAAGCCAAAATATGGTCGATTTTGGTAAGATGTTCATGTGCACTTGAGAAGAATGTGTATTCTGCTGTCAAATTGAGAATTCTATAAATATAATTTAGGTCAAGTTTGTTAACAATATCGTTCAATATATCTGTTAATAAATTTATACCATTTTCCATTGTATAAATCCTTACTGATTGTCTGGCTATTTTTCTATCAATTATTGAGAGAAGGAATTGATATCTTAGGCTCTAACTAGTGAATTTACTTCTCACAGTTCTATCAGTTTTTGCTTCATGTAATTGTAAGCTCTGTTTTTAGGTGAATGAACATTTAGGGTTATTATGTCCTCCTGGTGAACTGATCCCTTTGTCATTATTAAATATCTTCCTTTAATCCTAGCAAAATATTAAGTATTCTGATTTCTTTGCTGTGAAATCTACTTTGTTGATAGTAATATAGCTACTCCAGCTTTCTTTTTTTTTTTTTTTTTTTTTTTTGAGACAGAGTCTCGCTCTGTGGCCCAGGCTGGAGTGCAGTGGCCTGATCTTGGCTGACTGCAAGCTCCGCCTCCTGGGTTCACGCTATTCTCCTGTCTCAGCCTCCCAAGTAGCTGGGACTACAGGTGCCTGCCACCATGCCCGGCTAATTTTTTATTTTATTTTTGTATTTTTAGTAGAGACAGGGTTTCGCTGTGTTAGCCAGGATGGTCTCCATCTCCTGACCTCGTGATCCGCCTGCCTCGGCCTCCCAAAGTGCTGGGATTACAGACGTGAGCCACCGCGCCTGGCCTCCAGCTTTCTTTTGTGTTTTCGTTCTTTACTTTTAATCTATTGTGTTTTTATATTAAAGTGCATTTCTTGAGAGCTTATTTAGAAGTTCTAGCAGGGGAGGAGCACAGCTACTCGTATACCCTTTACAGAAGAATGTGGTTCTCCTCTATCAAGGAAGGTCATCCTCTTCTACCAGAACACGTGCAGCTTCAAGAAGGTCACATATAGAGCAGTAAGGGAGGATGGGGACACCTGCTTAGTCAGCCAGATCAACCAAATCAACCCTGGTAATCAACAGAGTGACAGATGTCGCAGCCAGGTCTCCCTCACATCCTAAAGTACATTTCTTATAGGCAACATATAGTAAGGTGTTGCATTTTTATCCAAGATAAACATCTCTGCCTTTTAAATAGAATATTTAGACCAGAGTTTAGCCAACTACGGCCCACAGACTAAATTCAGCCATGCCCATTCATTTGTATATTGTCTATGGTTGCTTTTATATGTTACAATGACAGGGTTGAATGGTTGTGACAGAGACTGTATGTCATACAAAACCAAAAATATTAACTAACTGGTCCTTTATAGAAAAAGTTTGCTGATCTCTGGTTTAGATCATTTCCATTTAATGTGATTATTGATATAATTAGCTTTAAATCTACTATCTTGCTATGTTTTCCATTTGGCCCATCTCATCTTTTTTCTCTTTCCCTTATTTTCCTGTCTTCTTTAGGATTGCTATTTTAAAATTCAATTTTGTCTCCTTTATTGGCTTATTATCTATAATTTTAGGGTTTGGAGAATATGTCTTTAATTCAATACAGTCTACTTTCTAATGACATATCACTACATGTATTGTATAAGAATCTCACAGTAATATATTTCCACTTCTACCCTCTCAGCCATTGTGTTATTATTGTCATATATTTTGCTTCTATGTTATAAATATCATCAATTATATTTTTAAAAATTTAAATAATGAAAAAACACCCCATATCTTTACCCACAGTGTTACTATTTCTGGTTTTCTACATTCCTCTGTGTAGATCCATATTTCCATCTGGTATAGCTTTCCTTCTGACTAAAGGACTTCTTTTAACATTTTTTATAGCGTGGGTCTATTGGTAATACATTTTTTCAGTGCTTTCTGAAGAAGTCTTCATTTTACTCTCATATTTGAAAGATATTTTCACTTGGTATGAATTCTAGGTTGACAGCTTTCCTCATTGCCCCCCTAACTTTCTTCTAGTACTTTCAATCCTACTATCTTTTTGCTTGCATTGTTTCTGATTTTAAAAAAAATCTGCTGTCTCCTTTCCTCTCTATATAAGGTCTTTTAAAAAATCCAGTTGCTTTAAAATATTCTTTTTATTACTGTTTTGGACAACTGGATTATAATTTCCCTTGGTGAACTTGGGTTTGTTGTGCCTGAGGCTTATTGAGCTTCTTAAAACTGTGGGTGTTTAGTTTTCATTAAATTTGTAAAACTTTCCGTCATTATTTCTTCAATTTTTTTTGTTCCCTCTTCTGTCTCTTGTCCTTCAGGAATTTCAATTACACATATATTGGGCCTCTTGAATCTGTCTCATGGCTCACTGATGTTCTTTCTGAGGTTTTTTTTGTTTGTTTTTGTTTTGGAGTCTATTCTATCTTGTTTTATTTAAAAAGTTTTTCTATTGCTGTGTCTTCAAGTTCACTAAGCTTTTCTTCTGGAATGTCTAATCTGCCATCAATCCAATCCAGTGTACTTTTAATATCAGATAATCTAATTTTCATCTGTCAAAACTCAGTAACTGGTCTTTTTTATATCTTCCATTTCTCTGCTTAACATGGTCAATTTTTTCTTTAGCTTCTGGGTATATGGAATACAGTTATCATATTTGTTTTAATGTCTTTTCTGCTAATTCTCACTTCTGTGCCTTTCTGGGTCAGTTTTTATTTATTGATTTTTCTTTTCATTTTGAGCCCTATTTTCTTGTATATTTCCAAGGATGGCAATTTTTCACTGGATGCCAGACATTGTTAACTTACCTTGTTCGGTGCTAGATATTTTTGTATTCCTATGAATATTCTTGAGCTCTGTCCTAGGATGCAGTTCAGTTTCTTGAAATCAGCTTGATTATTTTAGGCCTTCCTTTTAAAATGTATTATGCAGAATCAAATCAGCATTTCATCTAGGGCTAAGTATTCTCAACTTGTGATGCAAGACCCTTTTGAGCACTCTACCTAGGGCCTTATAAATTACAGGTTTACCAGTCTGGCTGATGGAAATGCAAATTACTGGCCATGTGCAAGTATTCAATATTCTCTCTGGCTCTGTCTGTCGCTGGCTTTATGTCATTTTCCCACATGTACACATTGATCATAAACATATGCAAGGCGGACTTTTTGTAGATCGCCAGTGTTCTTCCCTGTGCAACTCTCTCCTGTGAACACTATCCATGAACTTTAGCCACCATGATCTCCCAGGACGCTGCAAGGTTTCCTCAACTCAAAGAATCTGACAAGTTCAAACTAGATTCCCACTCCCTGAACCATGACCTGAAATTTCTTTCAGGGCACTAAGTTATGGCAACCACAGGGCTCACCTTGTTTGACTTCTGTTTCCAGGAATCACTGTCTTTCATTGCCTGATGTCCAATATCTTGAAACAATTGTTTTCTATCGTTTCCTCACTGTTTTATTTGTTTTAGGTAGGAGGGTAAATTTGGTCCCCATTACTCCATCTTGGCCAAATGCAGAAATATGGAACTTTGTATTTAGATACATGGAGGTGGATTCTCAGCTTATTTCCTGCCTTTATAACTTTGGCAAATTACCTAACTTCTGTAAGTGTTTTTATTAATGTGCAAAATGGAAATAATAATGTCATAATAATGAAAATTACATTATTAATGGAGATCATTTTTGTTATCTAGATTAGTGGTTTATGAGATGATCTCCGCAGGCCACTCCTGATCTAAAATTTTCAGATTTTATTAATTCAATTTCTAAAACTGCATTTTTAAAAATATAAAAATTAAAGCATGTCCTCAATATTCCTTTTAGCCATGTTTATTATGCATAAATTAAAATTGATATTTTATAAATAACAACATCATCTGTGTCACATTTTGTACGTCAGAAATTATCTCTTTTAATTTTAATAATAGCATACTAAAACACGTTAGGAATTATTAGGTCATTTGGTTCTTTAATTTTGAAAACTAATTTGAGATTTTCTTTTTTGCCTCCCTTCAAAATTGAAATTGACTATTTCTTGAAGTAAACTTTTCTCACCTGCATTTTCACTCTCAATCTAGTTGCTTCAGCCAAGAAATAAGGTTTTGCTTGTTTGTTTAACTACTGGTTTCTCAAAAGCTCTATGTACTATTTTAAATGAGGTCATTAGTGAAATTCTAAAACGTTCTTAAGTGTGATGTCTTGATGATAATCTAAGAAAATATTTGCTTAGAATTTGCTTATTGCACTAAAAAGTGATAGTGATTAAATAATGCGATTTGATCATGTAAGCAGTGTGGCTATAGGATTTTTTAATTAAAAAACTTTAAATAGTAACAATATTGTACATTTAAAACCAATTTTAAAGGTTCAGCATCCACATTAATTTGCTTTCTTCAAGTAGTAATACTTGAAATAAATAAAAATCCATGACAATTAGTAAATACGTAGTTATTTTAAAATGTGCCATCCTTGTTGCATAGCAACTATTGATCTTATTGTGTGCTTTTTACATACTCTAAAATAATTAAGCACAGACACAAATTGCTATCTACTTTTTTGCATGTTAAAACCATTTAAGCTATGAAGTTTATTTTAAAATGTGTATTATATATTTGTAAAAAGAACATTTCATTCTTTGGCAAAGGCACAGTGACCCAAGAAGGAGATGAAAATGTCATATTAATGATTCTCCTTTCTCATGAGAAGACTTTTAGAGAACTTTTTATTCATAGTCTCAATAGCTAACACAGCCAAGGCATAATTATTAGTCCTTTGCTTTTCTGGTCTGGATCTTGATTTACTGCTAGCTAAATGATAACATTTATTAACAAGAAGTCGTGCCCTTTCAACGAAATGAAATGTCCATTTATACTATAGAAAATATATACATATATACATACCTCTGCAATATAATTAATTCATTAGAAAGATATCATGGTCCTAGCAAGAACTTATAGAATATTATATAGAATCATTTTTACCACCAAATTAACTTACTAGCATAAAGCAAGAACATAAATGCTTTCATATGTCAGATGCTAACACTAACTTGTTTTACTCTGTGTTAGCACCTCAAGGACAGGGTACAGTGAATAGAAGTACTAGAGGGGATCATAAACAGAGACCTTTTCTCCAGTGAAGTGTATCTGAAAACCCCTAGTGGGGTGTGAATATGGAGATGGGAAATTTCTACAAAAGCAAAAGCAGGAAAGTTTACTCCATCATACTAAGAGAAGGAGCTCAGGAGTTTGAGAAGAGGAATGACTCTCTGAATCGCTATCCACGTTAATTCCATTAGTAAAATTTCTGAATCAAAGGATGGGAAGTTTATAATATCTCTTGGTACATATTGACAAATTGCTTTCCAAAAATGTTACTTTAATTTCTAGTCCCTTAAAGAGTAGGTATGAGAGACGATCTCACTAGATCTTAACCACAGTGTTAAACTGTTCCATCAGTTGGATGGATAAACAATCTTTCATTGCTCTAATATGAATATTTTGGATTATACAAAATAGGGTTGATAATCTTCTTTTTCAATTTTTAAACATAGATTGGTAAGAATAAGGAAAGGGAATAAGTGCAGACCAGTCAGTTGAATACCCTGAGGCTAATAAAAATGAGAAAGAATGAAAGAAGCTGGGCCTTAGAGAAGGAAAAGAAAAGGCCTATACTACAAAATAAAACAAAATAAGAATGAGACACAAATAGCAACATTAGTCCATATTCTCCAATTTTGTTTTGGCCCATGTGGTACTGTTTTTACAGTGATCATTTTTATTATTTCGTGACTGTGTACCCTGATGGACAAGGGAAGGGGTACTTGTTTTTAGAGGGCTACTATTGGCTGAGTATGGCCAACTGTTTGAAGATTGGAAATGAAAGTGACAAATTTAAAATTGTTCTGAGGCAGCAAGAATACCTAAAGGGTTTCAGTATGCTGGATGGCAGAGTGAGGGATTCCTGGTAGAGATGTTAGTTTGAAGGAGGCCACTGCTTGTTGCTGAGGTTACAAGTTATGGGGTCAATCCCCAAGGAGAAGAATCTGATAAAACCCAAACAAGTTGTCAGGACTTCAGTCAAACAATCTGAATTTTGGCGACCAGCTCCATTTCTAGAGGAAAATTTAAGACATAATAAGAAAACTAAGGCAGAAGGCCAGTGCTAGGCATAGATACCAGTCACGTAAGAGAATGAGTTGGGAATGCTTTGGGTCAGTGTGTAGAATAGGGCCCAGAGATCAATCAAGGAGTACTGGAAGTTTATGGCAGAAAGATGACTGCTTTTAACTCAATGACTAGAGCTGTGGATGGTCTGAGAAGGTATGGACTAACAATTTTTAAAATATTACTTTTATTATTTAAAATTATGAAAGTAATACCTATTCATTGTTGAAACTTTGAAAACTATAAAAAAGTCCAAAGACCAAAACCAATGCAATTTTTTTTTGTTCTCTAACAGCAAACATTTCTCTGTAAATAATAGCAAGCTGAATGCTTATTCATTTTACTTTGTCAGGGTATATATGTCAAAAGTCCAAAA
Source organism: Homo sapiens (assembly GCF_000001405.40). Classification (NCBI taxonomy): domain Eukaryota; kingdom Metazoa; phylum Chordata; class Mammalia; order Primates; family Hominidae; genus Homo; species Homo sapiens. Next base: position 157,011,909 of record NC_000003.12, on the reverse strand, counting down.
CCAAATAATTCTAAAACATTTTCCATTCTTTTATCTTCTTATAGGAGAAGAAGAGAAGTTGTAAGAATTATTTCCCTGGTTTTAAGAATATGATCAAATGTAGATTGTGATAGTTGATGAGGAGATAAGAAAATATTTAAAAGCAAAAAAAATGCTTTTTCATGAGAACCAAGAGCTATCTTACAAGATTCCAAAATGTGTTATAATTTTTTATTTTCCATTATGTTGTCTAATATTTTGGAAAAGACACATTCCATAAGCATGTCTGGTCTAGGAAATTCCAGAAGGAATCTAAAGTGTGCATAGAAGCAAATAAATCTATCCGGAAGAGTCTTCTGACAAATGGTCAGAATTTTTAAAATGCAAATAGGTTGCATGCTGATGAAAGCCACACTACCATTACCTTCTCCTTCCAGTTATCATCACTCAGCAGCTTCTGTCTAAGGGTTTCTTGCAGCTGCTCGATGCTTTTCTGATGTGAAATCAGCATCAATTCCCTGAAAATCACAAACCCGACAAATGAGTCAATACTTACCCCTAACACAATTCCTAAGTTGTAGTTCCTGGGTCGGGAGATATTACTTCAAAACTTAGTCTGTTTATTTTCTTCAGCAGTATATATGCTGCTACTACATATCATTTTAACTATTAACAGCAATTTACAAGTGCTATGCAGCACTTGTATTATGGTATTTTTCCCAGGCTTAATTTTTGCTTAATAAGTAATAAGATATTATTTTGGCAATAAACATTAACTACATATGCAGAGTCACAAATACAATGAAATGTCTTCTGGCTGTTCATGTGTGCAAAAAATAAAATAAAATGTTATAAGTTGTGGTTCAAAAAGTATAAGACTAAATTCTAAAATAGCACCAGACAATATTTGGTTTCTTTAAAAAAGGAAAATATGTTGGGATATGCCATTAAGCCAATACATGTTAGCAGTTCCTGTGAAATTTTCTTTTCTTTTACTTATCTCAAATATTGATAGGAACAAACCAAATTAAGTAGAGAGATGTGTGATGTCGGGGATGCAATATAGCATAAAACATATTAGAAATTAGAAAACATAAAGATCACTTTATCATCTTAATCCACATAAGCAGATCTTAATGCTTAGCTTGTGATCCTCTGGATGGAAGTAAGGACAGGAGGAAATTAAAGAGAGAATTTCACAGGGGCACTGAAATTAAGATAAAAAATCAACAGTAGCAGCAAAAGTATGCTTATTGATCAGGGATCCTTCCTCCTTGCATGATCACTATGACTCTTCTCATGTTCTATGTATGTGATTCTTCTCTATTGCTCATTCATTCTTCTAATCCTTTTGTTTTTCATCATCACTCTCTTCCTTTTAGCTCTGACCCTTCTGCAAAAACCTGTGACTTTGATTTATAATTGCATGTTCAACATCTCCACCCTAATGATCCATCAACACCAAAAATTTTATACATCAAAAACCAAAATAAACATCATCTCCTATGATCTTTCCTTTCTTCCTGACTTCTGAAAACCTTCAAGGGTCATTTCTGAAGGTTTGAATCATCTCTGACATTTTCTTCTCTCTCTTTTACTACAACCATGCAGTAGTGAGTTCTATATAGTCTACTTCTTTGGGATACCTCAAACTGTTTCCTCATTTCCTAATACCAAGACCCAAGATAGGCAGAAGAAAGTAAAAAATATCAGAGTTGTAATCAATGGAAAACAAAAAAAAATAGACAATATCAGTGAAACAAAAATTTGTTTCTTTGAGATCAATAAAATTAATAAACCTCAAGGTAGACTAATTAGGAATAAAAAAGAGAAGTCAGAAATTACTAATATCAGAAATAAGAGGGATGATACTACTACAGATCCCTCAGATATTAAGATGATAATACAGAAATATTATGAGCAGCTTTATAATAAATATTATGAACAGTTTTATGTCATTAATTTTGACAACTCTGATGAAATGGACAAAATTTTTAAACAAACTACCAAAGCTCACTAAAGAAGAAATAGATAACATGAATAGTTGATAATTATGGTAAGTTTAATTTACTATGAATATTCTAAACTTACAAGTGCCTATTAAAATAGCCTCAAAATATATAAAGCAAAACTTGATATAAGTGTACAAAGAAATTCTTAAATCCACACCTTAGTGGTAGAATCTACCATAGATTTCTCAGTTATAGACAAATCAGCCCAGGACCACCACATATGTCAATGGAAGTATAAACTGCACAACTCCAGACTGTTATGGTGAATGTCTTTGTTATAGTTGTGTAATGTAGCAATCCAGGGTCAAGCAAAGAAATAGTTAATTAAAGATAAAGGAGATTTAAGGTTCATAAGATAGATTTAGGTTCACATCTAGAACCTTGTACACAATTAGTGGAAAAATACATCATTATTTTCCAGCTCATATGGAATTGACCACTTCTAGGACAAAAAGTAAGTTTTAGCTAATTTCAAACAATTGTTATACTATAACCTGCATTGTTCAATATGGTAGCCACTAGCTTCATGTAACTATTGAGCAGTTAAAATGTGGCCAGTTCAAGTTAAGATGTGCTATAAATGTAGAATACATACCAATTTGAAAATCTAGTACAAAATATCTAAAATACCTGTGATAACATTTTAAGACAATTACATATTTAAATAATGTTTTGGATAGTTTGAGTTAAATAAATTATTAAAATTGATTTTACTTATTTTTATTCTTTAATGTGGCAACTAAGCATTTTAAAATTACATACGTAGAAGTATAACATAATACTTCTATAGAATAGCACTGTAATAATGTATATTCCATGAAAACAAAGAAATGTCAGTAACAAAAGATAAATAGCTTCAAGTATTTTTAACATTTATTAAATGTATTTTTGAATAGCTCATGAGTCAAATAAAAATCACAATTGGTATTTGAAAATACTTCGAACTGAACAATAATGAAATTATTAATTGCTATCAAAATGAATGGAATAAGGCTAGAGCAGAACAGATAAATTGTGGTATACCTTAGCATACAATATAGATGAAGAAATGAATAATCCTCAGCTACATAAAACTTTATAAACAAATCTCAGGAACATAATATTGAGCACAAAGAACAAATTAGAATGATACATATGGAATGATTTTATTTATGTGAAGATAAAATACATGCAAAATCTAACATTTTTTAGGAATACAAACATGCTTGGTAAAATTATAGAGAGAAACACGGACACAATAGAAGTTATCTGTAGGTTTTTGTAGATGTTCTTTATCAGTTTTAGGAAGTTTTCTTCTATTCCTCATTTGTTGAGAACCACAAAACGCAGGCTGGTGGTTTTCTCTGAGGAAGGAGAGAAGGAGATGGAATTGGGAAGAAGCAAAAGAAAACTTCAAAGATAATGGTAAGGTTCTTTTTCCTAAACTGAGTGGTTGATACACAGAAGTTCACTGTATTGTAGCTCTTTATATTTGATACATATACAAACCTTCAATGTATCTACTCAAAATTTATTTTAAAAAAACAATTATTGATACAGCCAGAGGACAGAGTAGAATGTGTATGTGGAAGAAAGAGAATTGAAGGTAAAAACCGAGGTGAAGCAATGTGCAGGTGAGTTGTAGGTCACTCTCCTGTGTGATGGGGTTTACTGTCCTCTCTGAACAAGGCAGTGTCATCCAGCCCTGGAGATATAGAGGTGAACTAGGAAGGGAGAGTCACTGTTCAAATTGTGCTCAAAATCCAGCAAATGTGAAAGGGAGATCTATTAACGTGTGAGGCAGACCCAGCAGGCTTGATGCTTGCACATTAGTCTTTAGGCTGGAAAAATGGAAGTGAAGAGAAAGGAATAAAGAATGAGGAGAGCAAAAGTGAGATTACATCAAAAATTTTACTCAGGGCTTTCTTCCAAATATCTGGCCATTCCTGTCTCCTTTGCAGAGTCATCTTCCTCTAATGCGATCTAGCTGCTGACAACTCTTAAATTTTATCTCCAGTTCAGATCTGTTCCTGAGTATCTGATTCATGTATCCAACTCTCCACCTGACTGTTTTACTTTATTTTAGAAACATCTTAAGTTTAACATGTATATGCTCTCAGCGGCTTACAATATCAAAGTTTATTTTTCTTGGATTATGTGTTATCTGCTTCCTTGCTCCACATTTTGTACCAGGATACAAGAGAGCCCAGGGAGCAGCTCTTACTTGAGAATGCTGTTATTGTGGCAAGAAACAAAACAAAACAAGCCAAAACATAGAATCTCTTAAAGTTTCTGCTTAGAATTGGTATATATCACTTCTCTCACATTTCAATGGCAGAACAAATCAATTGACCAAGTCTCATAGCAATCAGGTGTGGATAGCACAGTCCTCTCACTGGGAGGTGCACTGTAAGTCACCTGACTGGCACCAGTGGATTCCATCACAACTCTGAAATCCCACGGGAAGCCTACGCTAAAGGAGGGGAACATTTCTTGCTTGGACTGTGATTCTTTTTACTTCCAGTAACTGCTAAGTTCAATTTTTGCCGCAGCTCCTAGCTTTCCTCTCTGAAATGTGCCTCTTTTTCATTATCTGGGTTGGCCACATCTGAAGAGCTATTAGGTTTTGCCCTTGGGACACCAACAGCTTTCTCAACTTCCTTATGGTCTGTAGATGGTGGGTGGTTAAGGGGGTTGCCTCTTTGTTTGTTTATTTATTTATTTATTATTATTATTTTTGAGACAGAGTCTCGCTCTGTGGCCCAGGCTGGAGTGCAATGGCGGATCTCGGCTCACTGCAAGCTCCGCCTCCCGGGTTCACGCCATTCTCCTGCCTCAGCCTCCCGAGTAGCTGGGACTACAGGCGCCCGCCACCACGCCCGGCTATTTTTTTTGTATTTTTTTAGTAGAGACGGGGTTTCGTCGTGTTAGCCAGGATGGTCTCGCTCCTGACCTTATGATCCGCCCACCTCGGCCTCCCAAAGTGCTGGGATTACAGGCGTGAGCCGCCGTGCCCATCCGCCTCTTTGTAATCCATCACTCCTGCCCCTCTCCTCCAGGCAATCAATACTTTGGTTTCTGTCACTATAGATTCGTCTGCATTTTGGGGATATGTAGATATATTCTGAAATACTGTATATTCTGAAAATACACTATATGATTCTGAAGTCATACAGTATATTCTTTTTTTGGTCTGGCATCTTTTACTCAGCATAATTATTTTAGATTCATCCAGGTTGTACCTTATTGATAGTTCATTCATTTTATTGCTGAGTAGTAGTCCATTGTACAGATACACTACAATCTGTTCATCCATTCATCTGTTGGTTAACATTTAGGTTGTTGTATATATTTTGGCTATTAGAAATTAAGCTGCTCTCAATACCTGTGTACAAGTTTTTGTATTGATATATGGTTTCATTTGTCTTGGGTAAATACATAGGCATGAAATGGCTGGGTAACAAGGTAGGTATATATTTAACTTTTAAAGAAACGTCCAAACTGTTTTTCTAATAAGTTGTACTATTTGACATGCCTACCAGTAGATTATAAGAGTTCAAGTTCCTCCATATCTTTGTAAACACTTCATACTTTCAGGTTTTAAGTTTTTACATGTTCTAAAAATGTATAGTAGTGGCCGGGCGCGGTGGCTCACGCCTGTAATCCCAGCACTTTGGGAGGCCGAGGCGGGTGGATCATGAGGTCAGGAGATCGAGACCATCCTGGCTAACAAGGTGAAACCCCGTCTCTACTAAAAATACAAAAAATTAGCCGGGCGCGGTGGCGGGCGCCTGTAGTCCCAGCTACTCGGGAGGCTGAGGCAGGAGAATGGCGTGAACCCGGGAAGCGGAGCTTGCAGTAAGCCGAGATTGCGCCACTGCAGTCCGCAGTCCGGCCTGGGCGACAGAGCGAGACTCCGTCTCAAAAAAAAAAAAAAAAATGTATAGTAGTATCTTATTGTGGTTTTAGTTTGCATTTCCCTAATGAGTAATGATATTGAGCATCACTTTATGTGCTTATTTTATTGGTCATTTGTATATATTTGGTGTTGTCTATTCAAGTCTTTTGTTCATTTTTTATTAGGATGTTTATGTTCATGTAACTGAGTTTCTAAATATCATTGTATATTATAGAAAAACTCCTTTATTATATAGATCCTTTGCAAATATATTATTCCAGTCTGTGGTTTTTATTTTCATTCTCTTAAAGTGTCTTTTGAAGAACACGTTAATTTTGATAAAGTTGAATTTATCTCTTTTATCTGTTGAATGTCATTGATTTTTATGTTAAACTAATCCTATATTCTTATGATAAACTCCACTTATTCATGATTTATTTCCTTTTATATGTTATCTTGATTTTAGCCCCTTCAATTTGCTAAAATTTTGTTTAGAATTTTTGTATCAATGCTCATTAGGAATGTTGGTCTGTTAATTTTCTTGTTATGTCTTTGTCAGGTTTTGTTATCAGAATAATACTGGCTTCATAAATTAAGATGGGAACTGTTCTTTCTTATTCAATTTTCAGGAAGAGTTTGAGTATAAATAGTATTATCTTTTCCTTAAATGCTTGGTAAAATTCACCAGTAAAACCTCTGGGCTGGAAGTTTTCTTTGTGAGAAGATTTTAAATTACAAATTCAATTTCTTTAAAAGATACAGAACTATTCATGTTATCCATTTCTTCTTTAGTGAGCTTTGGTAGTTTGTTTAAAAAATTTTGTCCATCTCATCAGAGTTGTCAAAATTAATGACATAAAGTTGTTCATAATATTTATTATAAAGCTGTTCATGATATTTCTGTATTATCATCTTAATATCTGAGGGATCTGTAGTAGTATCATCCCTCTTATTTCTGATATTAGTAATTTCTGACTTCTCTTTTTTATTCCTGATTAGTCTACCTTGAGGTTTATTAATTTTATTGATCTCAAAGAAACAAATTTTTGTTTCACTGATATTGTCTATTGTTTTTCTGTTTTCCATTGATTACAACTCTGATATTTTTTACTTTCTTCTGCCTATCTTGGGAATTTTTTCCTCGTCTGTTTTTCTAATTGCCTAAAGTGGAAGCTGAAACCTTTTTTTCTTTTTTCACATAGACATTTGTCCCTAAGTTTTTCTTTGGTGACATCTCATAAATTTTGATGTTTTCATTTTCATTTAGTTCAAAATACTTTCTAATTTCCCTTTTGATATTTTATTTGACCACTGTCTTATTTAGAATTGTTATATAATTTACAAATATTTAGGGGACTGTCAAGATAATTTTCTGTATTTGATTTCCACGTTAATTACACTGTGACCAGAGAACATACAGTACACTGTATTATTTAAATCCTTTAAAATTTCTTTGGTTTTATTTCATGTCCCAATCATACAGTCTGTCTCAGTGAGTAATCTGTATAACCACGGCGGGAAAATGTGTATTCTGCTGTTGTTGGGTGAAATGTTGTATAAATGTCAATTATGTTAATTGATTACAAAGTTCAAGTCTTCTATAGCCTACTGATTGTCCTATTACTTGTTTTATCAGCTATTAAGAGGGGGTATTGACATCTTTAACAATAATTGTGAATTTGCCTACTTCTTGGAATTCCATCCAGTTTTTGCTTCCTGTATTTTTAAGGTCTGTTATTAGATGTGCAAATATTTAGAAGTGTTATGTCCTCCTGATGAGTTGACCTACTTATCATTATAAAATGAACTTCTTTACTTCTGGTAATATTTTTTTTGTTCCAAAATCTACTTTGTAAAGCCATTACAGCTTTCTGATTAGGGTCAGTGTGTTATGTCTTTTCCCATTCTTTTATTTTTGACCTCATATGTCTTTATATTTAAAATATGTTTCCTGCAGGCAGCATATATCTAAATCTTACTTTCTTATACAATCTGACAATCTCTGCATTTTAATTAGAATGTTTAGACAATTTACATTTAATTTAATCATTGATATAGTTAGGCTTAAATCTACCATTTTGCCATTTCTTTCCTATTTTTCCCATCTGTTTTTTCTTCCCTTTCCCTTCTTTCTGTTTTCTTTTGGATTTTGCATGTTTTATGATTCAATTTTATCTCTTTTGTTGGCTTATTAGCTATAACTCTTTGTTTAGTTTTATTTTAGTGGTTGCTACAGGGTTGATAATAGACATTTTTAGCTTATCACAGTTTGATAGGCTGAATAATTGCCTCCAAAGATGTCCATATCTGAATCTGTGAGTATGTTTCCTTATATGGGAAAAGGGACTTTGTAGATGTGATAAAGTTAAGGATCTTGAGGTGAGGAGATTATTTTGAATTATCTGGATGGGGCAGAGGGTTAGTGTGGGGGAAGGTTATATGACAATGAAAGCAGAGATTGGATTCATGTGGCCAGGAGCTAAGGAATGCTGACAACTTGTAACAGATGGAAGATGTAAGGAATGTCTTCTCTGGATCCTGCAGAGGGAACCAGCCCTGCTGACACCTTGATTTTACCCCCTTAAGATTCATTTGAACTTCTGACCTCCAGAACTGTAAGACAATAAATCTGTGTTATTTTAAGCCACTAAATTTGTGGTCATTTGTTACAGCAGCAATAGGAAACTAATACAATGGTCTTCCTATAAGTGGTATTGTACAGCTTCAGCAATAATATGAGAATATCATGATAGTAACTTGATCAAGCTAAGGAGCAGCTGTCAATGGAAATAAAGTAGCACTTCACCTGGTTTTCAAAATGCCAGGATTACAGAATAAATGTGTCTAGTCATGTGCTTGTTAGAAGTATCCAGAGAGCCTAACAATTTGATCTGCTTAATTTCTTAAATTAGGTTTCCTGTTGGAAAAGAAGTCTTATTGATTAGAAAATCCAAATGAGCATCTCCTGATAGTGCCTGTGAATACATTAGAAGCTACCTTTACTATAAAGTAGATGGTACTGAATATTTGAGATGCTTGAATTTCAGTCTCCCTGGATATAGTTATAATTTTGATACCATAAAAAGTAGAATCCATTCCAAATGCATTCCTCTGATGGACTCAGTACATGGAACTCATGTTAAATGTAACCTTTTGGAAGAAAAACTTAAAAAGTCTAGTAGATTATAGCAGCTAAAATATAGTAAGCTAGGATGCAAACAATGTTAATGAAGTGATAATTATTCACTGAATTTTCAAGGAATTATGAAGTTCTTTATGACATTTCTAACAAAGTATATGGTGTTTTGAGTAAATTGTTATAAAAATATAAATTTGTATCTGTGATGGTAATTTTGCTTGATATTATGGTTACAGAAATGAGAAGGACTTTTATACCGCTTTGATTCCCTGCTGAGCCTCCATTCCTGACTCTAAGAAATCTTCAGTGAGACTCTTTAATGGGATAAAGCAGAAAGAATAATTATACGTGATGTTATATGCACTCATTGTTCTTGATTAGAATGGAATGGGCAGTGAGTAACGTATACAGGAATGATTATATGTGTGAAAAAGATAATCTAGATTCCAAAAATAAAAATCACACTTGTACAGTACAACCATGGGGCTGCTCACACATTGTTCAAGATCATAAAACAATCTTAGGCCATTGATAAAGAGAAAACAATCTTGTGTTGAAAAAAACTATGAAGAACCAACTCTGACTCACGTAGGACTTTTTGCTAGAAATTTAGAGGAATTGTAAGAAATAAAATATTTATTGTAAAGGCATAGTACATATTTTTCCATGTTATAAGTAGCTGAAAATGTATAGCTATTTAGGTATCTGACTTCTTTTTCTAGAACCAGTTCAAGAGATGTTGATGTTTTAGAATTATAGGAAACGACACAGATTTAGATTCTAAATTTAAATTTTACTAAGAATCTAATAAAGAAGATTACCATTAGAATCCAGGAGTTCTCATTGTACTCCTAGGTCTGATTTTTGAAAGTCAAAAGCTCTCTGGCCTGAAAGAAAAACTGGAGCTTCCCAGTTTTAAATTCCATGATCAGTTGTTTGATAGAAATTAAATTCATTCCCATCCATGCATGCATCCATCCCTACAGCAAATATTGAGAGCTGACTATGTGTCTGGCACTGTTTTATTCTCTGGGGATATAGTGGTTCTTTCTTTTCATTCCTTAGAAATATGTTAATACAACTCCCTCCGTTTTAGAAGAAATGAAGACCTGAGTGATAAATGACTATCTGAGGTGACATGATTCACAAGTGACAAAGCTAACTCAAGCTTATGCCAGCCAGCAGTATGTCATGCTGTCTTTGCTTTGCATATCTCAGATGGAGGTGTGGCTATTGACATTCTACCCTGCAATTTCACCAGATAGGTTTAAAATTAAAATTTTTGGAGTTGCCACAATTAGGACTTATTCACAATTAAGAGTATTTATTTTAAAAACTTTATTAAATTATTGGACCAAAAGGAAAATGAGAATCTTATTTCTTATGTACATGCGAATCCAGATTCCCTTAATTGCAGTTAAAAACATAACTGCAAACAAATGTCAAACCATAATGCCAAAATGACAGTTTTAAATTCTGTTTCACAAGTTGTTCTCTTAGAGATGTCTTCACATTGTCAATCAAAGAGATAATTTTGATTTTGCCACAACTCCTGCCTCTGTTAAAAGAAGTGAGTGTGTGATAACATAAGAAGCTTGGCAAGCCTCTTGTTCTGAGAGCTGTTGATGGATAGGAAATCAGAGAAAGAGGTGAGTCTTGGAGAAAAAACCTGATAAAATTTATTGTTTTCAATTATTACTTAGAACATTTCATAATGCTTTAAACTAACAGATTAGCATCTGTAATAGTATGTTTTAACACTGCTATAAAGACATACCTGAGACGGGGTAATTTACGAAGGAAAGAGGTTTAATTGACTCAAAGTTCAGCATGGCTAGGGGAGGCCTCAGGAAACTTATGGCAAATCATGGCAGAAGATGAAGAGGAAGCAAGGCACATTCTTTACAATGTAGCAGGAAGGAGATGTGCCAAGAAAAGGGGGGAAGAGCCCCTTATAAAACTGTTAGATGTCTTGAGAACTCACTCACTATTACAAGAACAGCATTGGGGAAACTGCCCCCACGATTCAATTACCTCCACCTATTCTCTCCCTTGACACCTGGAGATTATGGGAATTACAATTCAAGATGAGATTTGGGTGGGGACACAAAGCCTAACCATATCAGCATCCAAATGGAATCACTCCAAGGATTAATCTTTACAACTGTATGAGTAAAGCAGATAATAATGAATTCAACAGATATTTACTGAATATCTTACATGGCCGGTGCAGGGAATAAAAATTAATAAGACATGGTGCTTTAAGATGTTAGCAATCTAAAGAAAGATGAAAGAGAGGAAACTAATACTTTCTGAGTACCTACAACCTACCAGGCACAATATTTTAAAATTCTTAAGAAGATAGCTATTATTAAAATGCCCACGTTACAGATAGGGAAAAGAAGCCTTAATTGCCCAAGCTTAACAGTGGTCAAGTTGGGATTTACTCTATGTTTACCTAATTCTAAAGTCCATTCTTTTTAAACTAAGAATGGACTTTATCTTGCATCACTTCTTAATCCTTTTTCTTATCTAATACTAGATATAGCTAATCACTAGTCATTGCTTCTAGAATTTATGAAAATATAACAAGCCTCAATGAAATAAGTAAACAGTTTACATTTTTAGAATGCAGTTGTGAATTATTTTTATTCTATTTTCCATCTGAAGATATAGCTTTACTTCTTATTCTACCAAGGCACTAGAAAGCAGAGGACACCATCTCATATTTATTGAGTGAAGAGAAGAATACTGAGGGGGTTGGGGGTGAACAAGAAATTGAGAGGAGAGGAGAAGGGACACAAAAAGAGCGTTGCTTTCTGCAGGGCTGTGAGTCTCCTAAAGACTCAGTGTTACAACATGGTTCAGAAAGATGTCACACTGAGAAAGGATGACAAAACTTAGCCCTTCAAGACAAATACTTAGGGAATTGTGCAAACAGTAGAGAAGAGAACATGAGTTATAAGGTCAGACCCAACAGAGCTTGATTTCTGTCTTTGCCAATGATGTCACCCTGAGCAAGAAATTTAGCCTCAGTTAAATTAACGTTAATGTCCTCATCTCCAAAATGTGGAAAATGACACCTGCTTCACCAGTGAGGCAGGTGTGGCAGGCCACAGCTCTGCTAACCAGTGCCCTTGTGCAAATTTGGAAATGGCTTCTCTTCTGGGTTGGTGAATTAGAAAAAGCGCTCCCTCCGTCTGAGGGAAGACCTATGGACACAGGGCTTGGTAAGGAGAGATGGCAAACTTATGCAAGAAAAGTGAATCCCTTCCTCTGGCAAGTAGCTATGATGGCAGAGCCCAGGCTGGCCTCCTGTCCCCCTTAGCCCTTCCACTGAGCCTCACAAAATGGTACATGGCATTGTGCACAGGGTGCCGTGAAGGCAAGATAAGATAATGTCTACAGAAGCACTTAGAGGGCTCCTCATTGTGAAACCTGCGGATAGGTGAAAGAGCTTGAGAAAGAGAAAGGAAAACGGGAGGGGAGAAAAAGGGAGGGGAGGAGAGAGGAGACAGAAGGAGGGATAGAAAGAAAATGAGAAAGCAGGTATGTTTAATCATGAGGTCCTGCCATATATTTGAAAACAGGAGACTACAAACCTCTTGAAATAATGTGCTGGGTTTTGTGTATACTTTTCTGAAGTGAGTGTATTGTCTGTCTGTTCTCATGCTGCTATAAAGAACTGCCCGAGACTGGGTAATTTATAAAGGAAAGAGGTTTAATTGACTCACAGTTCCGCATTGCTTGGGAGGCCTCAGGAAACTTACAATCATGGAGTAAGGCAAAGGAGAAGCAGACACCTTCTTCACAGGGCGGCAGGATGGAGTGAGTGCCGGGCAAAGGGGGAAAAGCCCCTTATAAAACCATCAGATCTCGTGAGAACTCACTCACTATCACGAGAATGGCATGGGAGTAACTGCCCCCATGATTCAATCACCACCACTGGGTCCCTCCCATGACACGTGGGGATTATGGGAACTACAATTCAAGATGAAATTTGGGTGGGGACACAGCCAAACCATATCAGTGAGGGTTCATAGCTTTTGACTAAAAAGAAAAAGATGAAGGAGAGAGGAGAGGCCAAAAGAGAAGTTAATGTAATGCAGGTGAGGATGAGGGAAGTGGATAAAACCCTTCCCTGTAGCTTAAAAATTATGCTTTATGGGGAAATGGGGACAATTTAGTAAACTGCATTTAAGATACATAAGTATCTTAATACTTAATGCAGAGCCAAACAGATGCAGATGTATATTATTTATATCTCAGAATAATTTACACATAAGCAACTTGCACCTAACTTTAATTACGATTAAGCTTTTCCTCTAACAACATTCTTCATTGTTCCCATCATGTTATGGGCAAATTGATCACAATAAATCTCTTTCTGTATTTTTTCTTGGAGTTTACCAAGATAAAGATAATACAGCATCTAAGAATGCAAAGGGTATGAGAGCTATTATAAACAGTGTGTGTTCTGGCTGTATGGTTGTAGGCCACATGCTGGTGTAAGCGAATTTCTCCAAGTGCTATATGTAGGCAGTCTTCAAGCTTAAACACATATGTCCTTATAAAATATATTTGTACATTTGTTATAGAGAATTTAAGACATATTTTACTATAGAAATAGTTTTCCCTAAGGATGGAATTAGGTGCCCCTGTCAGCCAACAGGACACTTTTTAACCCACAATATGCCTGAAGGAGTGTTGCACATTCACAGTTCTGGGCAGAGTTCTGACCTTGGCCACCGAGACCTTGTGTCCCAGTAGGATGGGAGCTGAGGGCTGTCTTTACAAGAATTTTAAAAATGGCCACACTTTTCTCTGACATCATCCTTATGCCTTGCTGCATCCCTCTCCATCCATAAAGGAAACCCCTTTCACCAGTCCCAGTGTGTCCGTGACCAAGCTGGCCAGACTGTCTTTACCTGCAGAATCCCATGATTCGAGAAGACCTACTTCTTTTCCTTTCACTGAAGATTCTTCCCTACCTTTCACTTCCTCAGCTGAGTGTGGGGAAGATAGCAATGCCCAAATAAATAGATTTGTACTAATCAATGAACTATTTGCTAGTTACTAATTCCCTTATTTCTCCAAATTCAGAAGTTCTGCTAGTTTTTTTCTAGGGTCACCTCTGGCTTTTTACATCGTTTTCTTCTCTTCTGAAATACACAGCTTCTAAACTGCACAATTTGTGACCTCAGTAAGGGCTCTGCTCTCCTGAGGGGTCAGGGAGGAAGGCTGGTGTGTATCTGACACTGCTTGGATTTATGAAAGCACACAAAGTCAGTGGGAGTGAATGGGGCTCTGGCCTTTGGTGAGCACATCTGGTAGCCTGGTTGGTTGTAATACTTCCACAGCAGTGGTTTGGTACTTTGCCAAGTGGCAGATTCCTAGGCCCTACCCAGACCTACTGAACCAGAATCTCCTAGGGTATTATCAAGCATCTCTATATTAAAAGTGTTTCCTGAGCCCAGCTGCTTCTTTTGGAGGGATGTTCACACCTCCAACTGCTTAAGGAAATTTCTTATTTAAAAGTCCCATTGGTGCTTCAAATCAAAGCTTCAAGAGCAAACTTGCTAAGCTGAGACAGGGTCAGTTTACTGAAGGAAAAAAGTGGAAAGAGGAAAGTCAAGTTCAATTGTGAATTTTAAGGAATGTCTGCAATCAGGTGATCACAGGAGGGAAGGGGAAAGAACCAAAACAGAGCTAGAAAAGAGACCGAATAACAGGTTGCCCTGGAGCCAAAAGACCACCGTTTCAAGACAAGTTAGGACAGTAATGTCAAAAGCTTCTGAAGGCCATTTGTTCTTCAGAATATCTTTTTTTTTTTTTTTTAAATGAAGTTTTGCTCTTGTTGCCCAGGCTGGAGTGCAATGGTGCAGTCTCGGCTCACTGCAACCTCCGCCTCCCAGGTTCAGACGATTCTCCTGCCTCAGCCTCCCAAGTAGCTGGGATTACAGGCACCCGCCACCACACTCAGCTAATTTTTGTATTTTTAGAAGAGACGGGGTTTCACTATGTTGGCCAGGCTGTTCGCGAACCACTGACCTTAGATGATCCATCCACCTTGGCCTCCCAGAGTGCTGGAATCACAGGCATGAACCACCATGCCCGAATGAGAAGATCTTTTTAACCCTTAGGCTCACCATGGAGTAAGCCATGGCTATTTTACTACTACCCACTTGACATAGACACTTAACCCAACAGAAACTGACAGGGTGTAGGAGCTGGAGATCCTCATATTTCTCATATCTCTTAAGCTTCACTACCTATAAAATCCTTTATCAAAACAGTAAATGTCCTGACTTGCTCCCATTGCCAATACCTTCTCCGTCCAGCATCCAGAATGATTTTTCTACAGTGTCACTCTTCTGCTTAAATACCTTCAATGGTTTCTCTTCATTGCACTGAAAACAGCACCCAAACTCCCAAAGGCCTGCAAGGCCCTGCATGATGTGACCCTGCCTGCATCACTCACACTTACTATGCCACTAGCCACGCTACCCTGCTGTCCTTTCCCAGAACTCACCAACTTGTCTTTTGCTTGTAAAAGTTCCTCCCTGGCTCTTGGCCTGGTAACTTCCACTTGTCTTCCTTTAGGAAATGGGCAGAGTATCATCTTCGAAGTCACTTTTATGACCACCCTAGCCAAAGCAGGCACCTCTTCTATCAATTTTTACTACTTCATATCCATTATCACAATTTATAATTATTCTAGTCAGTTCTCTATTTTTTTGTTTTACTGTTTGTCTCTACCCTTAAAATATAAGCTATGTACTATGTACCCAGGGTACATAGTACCTGGCATATAATAAATGCCCAACAAATAATTGACAGACTGGCTGAATTACCCAAAGTGATCCATTCATTCATTCACTCATGCAACAAATATTTATTGAGTGGATATGTGTGGCAGGCTCTGGGCAGTTAGAGGACAAGGCAGACAAAATCTGAAAGTAGCCTAGAAAAAAGAAGAAGGCAACGCTTATGTTTAGGAGTAACCCTGTGATCACATGATAACCTACTGGTCTACAAGGACATTTTTAAAAAATTTATTTATTTATTTATTTTGAGACAGAGTCTCACTCTGTTGCCCAGGCTGGACAATGGCGTGATCTCAGCTGACTTCAATCTTTGCCTCCCAGGTTCAAGTGATTCTTGTGCCTCAGCCTCCTGAGTAGCTGGGATTATAGGCATGAGCCCCCATGCCCGGCTAATTTTGGTAGTTTTAGTAGAGATGGGGTTTTGCCATTTTGGCCAGGCTAGTCTTAAACTGCTGGCCTCAAGTGATCTGCCTGCCTTGGCCTCCCAAAATGCTGGGCTTACAGGTGTGAGCCACCGTGTCTGTCATTTTTATTTTTATTATGTGACAGACATCATGTCTGTAAACTTAGTGTCACCAATTACTAAGTACATGTATATTCTGGATAGACTAAAGCAGAGAGAATAAAGAAAGTACAAGGGCAATAATACAAGAAAAAAAAGAAAGGAAAAGAAGAAGAATAGGAGTTAGGTCAGTGATGTCACTATTCTCTGAAAGCTGATAGAAACTGTCCTTCTCATTCAACATTTAGAGGGTAAGATTATAGTCATAATAATTTTTTTAAAAACATGGCAAAACATATACATCCAAGTGAATGCTATTTCAAAGCAATTCCCCAAGAAAGCTATATATATATTCTACTGAGGTTACTAATCCTCAAAGCATTCATAAAACTCCCCTCTTCAAACTGCAGTCAGAGATAATTTATTAAGCATAGAAAAAGGGGAAAAATTTACTTTATTTTTGATCCCCAATAGTATTTCCCAGGTTGATTTCCCATCATATTCACTGGACTTATTTTCACTGGACCTATCTGAGACTGTTTCAAATATTCAGTGTATTCCTAAAGGATAAAGATCTGTCATACTGACGAGAGTCTAAAACATGTGCTTAAGCCAGTCCTTGGAGAAGAGTTCCAGAAACAATTAGACAAAGACAGGTTCTTCTCAATGACTTCAGTGAAGGAGACAGCATTCATCTGACTAAACAATTAAGCCTAATTAATCTGGCACCATTGGAAATATGATATTCTGGGTAATATAGGCACTGCTCAGATAACCAAAGTTCTAAACCAAATACTTTGAAAATTTGTATTTATTCCATGGTGTCTTTTCAAAGATGTATGATGTGTGTCTTTTGTATAGAATACATAACTGATTTTAATCTTTCTGACTATATACGTTAGCATATATAGGTTTTATCTCTGCTTACACATGCTGAATCTTTCAACTATCATTCCTTTTTTTATTAATAAGCCTGGCTCTTATACATTTCATTGTTATAAAATTGCAGCTTCTAATAAATGGCAGAGGAGGTGGGGTGGAATAGTCAGTTAAGTAGAGGGTACATTTTCGGTGTTGAAGGGTGAAGAGTAAATGGTGGGGGGATATCAGCTCTGCAGTTGCTAATCTTATTCAATAAAATATAAGTAATTATAAAATCATCCCAGGACGGACGAGAGATAAGCCTTGTTTCCCTATGAACTACACAGACTTCCTGCTTGCCTGGTGTAGAAACAGATTTGGTGCCCAGGGAACAGTGTTGGCAAGAAAGAGTTCTGAGACAAAAAAATCTAATTCTAAGATAACTGCTACCCACTACCCTGGTCCCCACCCCCAGACTCAGCAAACAGGTTTGCAAAGGAGGACTCAAAGAAAAAAAAGATTGTAACTCTTCTAAATTATATTCATAAAATAAAATATAAACTAAAATATAAAAATGATAGGAAGAATGAAAAACAAATAACCTATCATGTGCCTTCTGTGCACAGAAAATGATAGAAAACAAAAATTCCTGCCCTTATGAAACTTGTGTTCTTAGTTAATATAATAATTATATCAGTAAATGTAAATGAAATAATCTCTTAAAGAAGCCCAGATTTTTAAATCAATGAAACAAAAAAACCCTAAGATTTGTGCTATATATCAGATATGCATTTAAAACAAAAGGATTCAGAAAGAATGAGCAAAGACATAGCAGGCAAATGAAAACAAAAAGAAAGAAAGTAAGGTTGAAATATTAATTACAGATAAGGTTAAACACAAATTAACTAAACAAAAGTATCTTGGAAGCCTGGACCAATGTACTTCTTAGTATCCTCGATACCACCTAAGGAGGTATCTTTGCTTGTGCCATATCCTCCAACAAGATGTGCTGACAGACAAGGAGGAGAGAAGAAAAGTAGGAGCCAATAGAAGGAAAAAGTGATATAAAAAGATCTTTTCTGTTGGAAAAATGATAGAATCTACCAATCACTGACCCAGGTGAAATTTAGTAGTACAAGTATCACACGTGGTCTGATTTTTTTTTTTTTCAAGAAGAATTTGACACCAAATGCAACTTGGGCTTCATTCCTACTTTCACCAACTGCAACTTTACCAAGTCATGTAACCAACTGGAGCTTCAGTCTAATCACTTGTAAAATGAGGTGGTGGGATGCAATGACCTTGTAGGAGAAATATATCTTTAGTCCTGTGATTTCACTATTGTTATAATATGTCAGACACTGATGTTGCAAATATATATGGAATACTAACTTAAACATAAAATGTTTTTGTAAGAAATTATTGTTTACTGCACCTTTCATTTTTCAGTGTTAAAACCTCTTCCCTTGTCTGATTCAGAAGAGTTTTGGTTATCTCCAGTTCATTTTCTGCAAGGTTAATTCTTCTCTTTATGTCTTCTTCTTGCTTTTCTTTCACAGTCAGCTCTTCCTGTAATGCTTTATATATCTGTTGACAAGTCATTAAAGAGTCTTCTTTTTCCTTAAGCAGCATAGTATGCCTAAAAAGAAATAGGAAAAACACCCACCAACATACATTATATACTACATTTTATATTTACCAAAGATGTATCAAGAGCTCATTTGAAATTATAGATTATAACTGTAACTTTAAAAAATTAAAAATTTTAAAAAAAGAATGGTTCTATAATGTTAATATTTTCCCATCTAGGCAGTGGCAACAGCAATAACCAACTGCAAGATAATATAAGCTTGAATTAGGTATTTTATATGTAAACAATAAGAAAATAAAAAATGATAAGTGCCTTTTAAATAAAATGTTACTTAAATACAGTTTTAAGTTCAATTATTAAAAATATAAATTTAAAAATTGGTAATGCATACTGTGACTCAGAAATAATGGATTCAAACTTCAGTTTTTTAAGTTCTCTTTGACAGTCATCAGCTTCATTAGATTTATTCCTAAAATAATACAAAAGAAGTTAAAATATATTATTTCAAAATAAAGTATATGTTTTTCTGTAGCATTATTTTACTCATCAATAGAAGAAATTTCTTAACATCTTCATATTATTATTTGTTTAAAGAAATAAACATTCAGTTTACTTCTATACTGGCCAACAAAGCTTCTGTCAGACTGATTTGCATGTAAATAAAAAGTATAAACTGCACAACACTAAAAAACAAAAACAAATAAACAAAACCAAAACCCAAAATACCTATGTGAAGGTATTGGAAAGTGACTAAAAGCAGGGAGATTCTGGAGGAAAGTTGACAGTTGGAATGAGGTGACAGCATGGGGTTGGGCTATTAAAAATAATTTTAAGCCTGAGGGCAGCCCCCAGTCAGCACCCTGCAGGGGAACTAAAACTCTTAGAGAAATCGTCAGTCTTTCTGGCCCATAGAACCAGAGGCCATGGTATTTGGGGCAACCACAGCTGTTGGAAAGTAAAGAAAGGATGCTGAAGAGGCGAGAGCCGGAGAAAGAGAGTCCCAAATACTCCACATAAATTCTGCCCCTGAACTACACATGTATTAAGCATATTCCAAGCAGCCTAGTTAAAGAAAAAGAACTGAACTGAGATTGAGCTGTTATCCTGGACAGAGATTGCCATTTGAGGTGAAGCAACACCACTTCACCACTCTCAACAATAACAACGACAACAATATTTTTTGGAGAAATATAGCAGAATCCAGACTCTCTATAACATAATGTTCACAATGTCCAGAACATAGTAAAAAAGTATTCAGAAAAGTGTTACTCATTCTAAAGAGAAAGACAGTTAATAGGAACTGACTCTGAGATGACCCAGATATTGAAATGAGCAGACAAAGATTTTTGAAGAAGTAATTATTCACTTTGCTCAAAGACATAAAGGAAAATCTATTCTAATTAATAAAAAGATGAGAAATCTCAGCAGGGAAATAAAAACCATTAAAAAGAACCAAATGAAAGATCTAAAACTGAAAGAAAACTTTGCCTTGATCTTATATGATTGGGTTTTGTAACAATACTCAAAAGGTTAATATATTAAAAATTTAATATCCAATTTAAATGTATTCAGACTATTCATTAACTCGTTAAGTCATAATCTGAAAATATCTCAAAATAGCTTGTAAATCACACAATGAATTATGTAAGATTATCAATGCCCTCCTTGCAGAATGACTTTAATTTCTAGTAATAATGTAAAAACCATCATGAACATACACAATATTCATTTATTTTTAAATCTTTTTTATTATAAAATATAACAAAATTGTAAGATACAGAAAAGAGCATAAAACAATTATATAATATAATGAATTATTATAAGAAGAATACTCTGGTGATTACCATCCAGGTTAAAAAATAAAACCTTACCAGCTACTCTAGAAGTCCTTTTTGTCCCTGGTTCCAATCATAGCCAACTCCCCGCTCCCTAAAAGTAACCATTCTCATGAATAATATTGTAATCACTGATTTTCCTTAGGGCTTTATTACCTAAGTTTTATCTCTCAACACTATATTTTAATTTTGCTTTTATTTTAAAGCCATTATAAATGTTCTCTGCCACTGCCCTATTTTTGTAAAAATGTCTCTATTAAGGTATTGTATTGACATATAATACACTGCACATCTTTAAAGTGTATAATTTGATACATTTGACATATGTATATTCCCATGAAGCCATCACTACAATCAAGTAGCACATGAGCAGATTCAGAACCCAGATCTGGGCTTCTATCACCATTCCCTATTAGAGGAACCAGGACTACTCATAGAAATAACTGATTTCAAGGCTGGGGCAAAGTAAGTATATCTGAAATATTTTGTGATGCCAGAAAGTAAGAAAGTGTTTACAAAAGATGATGACATAATATTCTAATTTCAGAAGAGCCAGTTTGAAGGGGCTTCTACTTACTAAACCTAGAACAATCGGAGCACCAAAATAATTCAGTACAGTAATAAATTATAAGCCATTAAAAGAAAGGAATTGATGAGTCTGTACAATAAATAAATAGATGAAGGTAGGATCTTGCTTACAGTAGAATGGTAAGGCCTAACTAGTAAATGGGGAGGATGATCTGGAATTTTAAAAAGTCATCATTTAGCAATCGCTATAGTAAAACTGAGATCAGGCAAAAATCACTAATGGATGCTATATCTAAGGATAAATTTTGGTGAAAAGCAGTATATTTACATGCATTTAAAGTGTCTCTTCTAGACTTCTTATTAATCGAAAGAGAACAAACCCCCCAGTAATTATGCAGAAAAATTGAGCAACATCTTGATCAGGTGATCAAAATTAACATCATCAGTTGGGGTCAAATTGTTATCATGTGCCTCCAGATGTGATGCCCTGAGGACACATCACCCCCTATGTGGTTTTCTGGCTAAGAATACATATCCTTAATCTAATAGAGAGGAATCATCAGACCAATAAAAATGAAGAATTTTTTATTTTTAAAAAGTGTGAGGGGTTCTGCATTCTTAAAAAATTCAGTGTCATTAAAAGACAAAGACAAAATGTGGAAATATTCTAGATTAAAGGAGGCTAAAGAGATATCTGAGTAGATTAACTCCAGATTGGATCCTGTACTAGAAGAGAAAATGTTATAAAAGATATCATTAGGTCAACTGACAAAATTGAAATATGGATGGTAGATTAAAGTATTGTATGTAAATTTATGACACTGATTAGGCTGGCTGAAGTATCTAGAGGTAAAGGGCTATGTTGCATGTAACTTATCCTCAAAACGGTTCAGGAAAAAAATTTGTGTGTGTGTGTGTCTTTCTGTCTGTGTGTGTGCAGAGAGAGAGGGAGAGGGAGGAAGAGAAGGAGGGTAAAGAGGGAGAGAGAGAGAGAAAGCAAATGAGTTAAAATGTTAACACTAGGTGAAAATGGGTAAAGACTATCTGGGTGCTCTTTGAACTATTATTATTTTTACAACTTTTTGTAAGTTTGAAGTTATTTCCAAATAAAACATTAGAAAAGAAGAAATAGAAAAATATTAACATACAGTTAGAAAAATGGGCAAAGGCTCAGGTGAGTCACAAAGAAAAGAATACAAGGAGCTAGAAATGCAGGGGTACAAATTTTATCAATTTTAAAAGTTATAATACCCACTATTGTCCAGGAAGCAGAGAAATGAGTATTTATAAACACTGTTGAGATTACATATCTGTATAGGCTTACTGGAGGACAGTGAGTTATTATGCATTAAAAGCCTTAAAAATATTCAAGTTTGATTCTAGCAAAAATTATGCTAAAGAAATAACTGTGTGTGAATAGACTTAGCTACGTGAATTTTCCAAGTGCCTTACTTATACAAATAAAAAACTTGACATTCTAAAAACAAGGTGTTAATAAGTTATGGTTCATCCATAGATTGGAATATTATGTAGCCATTTAATAATTTTCCATAAATGTATAAAGTAATGACATGGAAAAACGTCCAGGATATATCACTAAGCAAAAAGTTCGCAAAACAGTAGATAAAGTGGCTGGGCACGGTGGCTCACACCTGTAATCCCAGCACTTTGGGAGCCAAGGCAGGTGGATCATGAAGTCAGAGTTCAAGACAAACATGGCCAACATAGTGAAACCCTGTCTCTACTAAAAATACAAAAAATTAGCCGGGTGTGGTGGTGTGCACCTGTAATCTCAGCTACTCGGGAGGCTGAGGCAGGAGAATCGAGTCAACCCGGGAGGCGGAGGTTGCAATGAGCCGAGATCGCACCATTGCACTCCAGCCTGGGCGACAGTGCGAGACTCCATCTCAAAAAAACAAAAACAACCCAAAACAGTGCATAAAGTATATTCCCAATTATGTTAAAAATGCAAACTACTTAGAAAAATGGACTAGAGTTCCCTCCCCCTCAAAGATACATCAAAGATACATCATTGTAGACTGAGAAATGGAGGCCAGAGACAAACAAGTGCTTTGCTTACTTTGCCTGAAGCTGGGTGCAGAGGCATTGGTGGAGGGACTGGTTCTTCAGTACCTTTACCAGGAAGGAATCTTGACAGGAAACCATGTCCAAGAAATTAAAGATCAAGCCACACGCCTCAAGAAAACAATGCTGCTGCTGCATAGCCTACTTTCCAGGGGTCCTAAAGCATTTGATACTTTCCTAGATTCGCTACAGGAATTTTCGTGGGTAAGGGAGAAGCTGGAGAAAGCAAGGGAAAAAGCCATGACTCAGCTGCCTGCAGGTGACACGATGACTGGGATCCCCTCGCACATCATCAGCTCCCCAACAAACTGGCAGATTAATCAGCTGACCCAGAGGCTGGGCCCTAAGTGGAAGTCCATGGTGCTGTCTTTGGTACTGTTCTAGACAGATATCTACCGCTGTAAGGCCAACCATCTCCACAATGTGCACTTGTAGGTGGTGGAGGCCTTTGTCTGTTGGTGGCAGCGCTTTGAGAAGCAGGCAACTTTCCAGAGCTTGCACAATGGGCTGCAGGCATGGAGGTAGACCTCTTGGTGTTCCTGCACATGTTGGAGTGAAAGTGCCTCTGCCAACCAGCTGAAGAGCATGTCTCCAAGTCACATGGACTGAATCCTGACTTTCAGTCAGAACAAGTGGTTTTTGGTTTAGTTTAGGTTTGTTTTTTCTTTTTAATGATCCTCAGATGGAAAGAGAAAACAGGGTTTCCACTTGACATTACCTGAAAGGCCAGATTACTCAGTAGATCTCCCAGATTGGTTCAACAATTCGTTGTTTTTAATTGCTTGAAGATTGCCTTGTTATGATTGCACAGCTTTAAATTGTGTGATGGCCTACTAGACTAATTAAAATAGATGATTTACTAGACTAATTAAAATAGTCTAGTAAATCATAGTGGCTCACAAAACCTCAAAAAACAAAAAACCCCAAAGCCCCATGTTATCACATTACATGTAGGTGTCTTATATGTAAAACATTCACTTTTATATTGCCTGGGAACTGAAATGTGGACTTTATTATTCATGATAAGAAAATAAAATGTAAATTACTTAAAAAAGGAAAATGGACTAGAAGAATATATCAAAATATAACTATGACTTTTTTGTATATCCTTGTATTTTCCAAGTTTTACACATTTGCTTTGAAATCAAACAAAAATGTTTCTTTTACAAATGCCTTTGAGATTCAGCAGCCCTACCACAACTTTCACTGTATGTTCAGACTGTTATGTACACTTTCCCAAATCTAGAAGCAGGAACAGAAGAACTCCTTTTAGTGGTTATTTTACTATGTAGATAATAAATTTGGGCTGCATTTTTTTAAAGCCACCTATCATCCTAGGAAGTCCCCTCAGCATGGTTCCTTCCCCTGCCCCACACCAGTTAAGCCAGTCTTTTTATGGTCTACCTTTGTTACCCAATTGTTATCTTCACCTTCATTAGGACGGATAAATTGGATGGAATAGAAAGAATGTCTACATCTCTTTAAGCATTGCATTCCTTCTTTTACTCTTAGCAAATAGTGGTAATCCTTTCTCTTCAATTGTTACAAGTAAACCTTCAGAAAGGTCCCTGCTGCTCCTGCCAATACAATACAATACAATACAATACAATACAATACAATACAATACAATACAATACAATACAATACAATAGCTAGCTATTTCCCCCCACTTTGAAAGGTGATGCTATATGCCACTCCATTCGCTTATATGGAACAGCCATTCTTAAACTAACTCCTTGATATTTCCACTGTGCAGTCTCAAAGGCATCTCAACTCTAACAAATCAAAAGCATTGTTTTTGATTCCTCCACTCCCTTATCTGCTTCTTTCACAGAATTTCCCACTTCAGTAAATGAAACAAACACAATGATGATAGTAAAAGGTAACACATTATGT
The DNA here is from genome assembly GCF_000001405.40 of Homo sapiens. Classification (NCBI taxonomy): domain Eukaryota; kingdom Metazoa; phylum Chordata; class Mammalia; order Primates; family Hominidae; genus Homo; species Homo sapiens. Next base: position 156,986,777 of record NC_000003.12, on the reverse strand, counting down.
ATCTTGTGCACTCCTCAAAGAAGCCCTTATTCCCATTTTATGGTTTAGGGAACTGAGACCAAAGAGAAAGAGAAAAGAAACTTGCCCAAGTTGACGTAACTACTAAGTTGTAGTGCTGGGATTTGAACCCCAGCAGTCTGGATCTGGAGTCTGAGCTCTCAGTCACTGCACTTTGCTGCCTCTCAACTGTCTACCCTGATGCAAAAAGGATCAAGCCCGTCTTTATTCTTTCGTTTCACTTCCAGTCTTCTTGCTCCCCAGTCACATTTTCTCTATCAGTAAATCAGATTGACCTCTGACATATATTTCTCTCCATCTCCATGCTACAGTCTTAGGCTAAACCATAATTACTTCTCACTTGCATGAATGCACAGCCTTCCACCCAGACTCCCTGATATTGCTTTTACTCCTACTCCAGTCCATTCTTGAAGGAGCAACCACAGTGACCTTTTAAAAAACAGATTAGATTACTCTCTTAGAATTCTCCCCAAGCTTCCCATTGCTCTCCTTATAAATCCAAACTCCTCAGAAACTCTTCAGGAAACACTGGTCAATTTAATTTCTTATTGCTGCTGTAACAAATGACCACAAGCTTAGTGTTTTAAAGCAATACAAATTTATTATTTCACAGTTCTGGAGGTCAGAAGTCCTAAAATCAAGGTGTCACCAGGTCGTGTTCCTTCTGAAGGCTCCAGGGGAGAATTCATTTCCTTACCTGTTCTAGCTTCTAGAGCCCACCTGTATTTCTTGTCCTGTGGCCCCTTCCTCCATCATCGAATCACATCACTGCAATCTCTGTTTTCATACTCACATCTGCTTTTGTGACTTTGACCCTCTTGCTTCCTCTTATAAGGATCCTCGTGATTATATTAGGCCTGCCCACATAATCCAGGATAATTTCCCCATTTCAAAATTCTTTTTTTTTTTTTTTTTTTGACACAGAGTCTCGCTTTGCTGCCCAGGCTGGAGTGCAGTGGTGCGATCTTGCCTCACTACTGCCTCTGCCTCCCTGCCTCCAGGTTTCAAGAGATTCTTGTGCCTCAGCCTCCTGAGTAGCTGGAATTACAGGTGTGTGCCATTACACCCAGCTAATTTTTGTATTTTTTAATAGAGACAGGGTTTCACCATGGTGGCCAAGTCATACTCCTGGCCTAAAGGGATCCACCTGCCTCGCCTCAGTCTCCCAAAATGCTGGGATTACAGGTATGAGCCACTACGCCTGGCCTCAAAATTCTTAATCGCATTTGTAAAGTCCCTTTTGCCATGTAAGGGAACATACAGATTCCAGGGATTAGGACATGAAACTCTTTGGGGAGCCGTTATTCTGTCACTACAACTGGCCTTCATGTTTTTTGAACTTGTAAAACTGATTTCCAAGAAACGTAGGGTCTTGTCTTGATCTCCTTCCTCCCAGATGTAATCATGGCTAGCTCCTTTCTGTTATTCATATCTTAACTTAAAGATCATCTACTCAGGGATGCCATTCTGACCACTCTGTCAAAAGTATACCACCCCTCTCCACTACTCACATTCTATTATGCCTATTTTATATTTTTGCGGCACTTAGCATTGTCTGAAAAGTAACTCTATGGAAATGTGCCAATCTTGTTACTCCAATATCTAGTGCCTGCACACAATAGTCCTGGCTCTCAGTAAACATTTTGTATTGAATAAATAAATGAAATAAACATAGCCTGTTCAAGTTAGGACCATGTGAAAAATGGATCTGTACACTGACACTGGAATGCCACCAGGCCACCTTCTGCTTGCCAGGAAGAAATTTTCATGAATGAACAGGAAGGTGAGAGGAAAATCAGGAGAACGCTGATATTTATATCTCAATAATAGAGACTGTCCCAAGAACAGATTGGTCAACTGTCAGATGCTGTTGAAAGGCCAAGTAAGAGCTTTAAAAATTAGTACTTTGTGATGGTCAAAAGTTTACTATTGTTCAAATTATCAGTTAAATGAGCAGTAGGTGACTGTTAATGAAATTAAAATGTAAGTCCTGTGTTAGCTTGCTTAGAAAAAAAAAGGAATTAAAGTGTAAGTACATTACAGAGGTTCTTAAATTAGAAAACATTTTTTTAAAATTTTTTTTGAGACCGAGTCTCGCTCTGTCACCCAGGCTGGAGTGCAGTGTCGCAATCTTGGCTCACTGCAACCTCTGCCTCCCGGGTTCAAGCAATTCTCCTGTCTCAGCCTCCCGAGTAACTGGGACCACAGGCACCTGCCACCATGCCTGGCTAATTTTTGTATTTTTAGTAAAGGCGAGGTTTCACCATATTGGTCAGGCTGGTCTCGAACTCCTGACCTCAGGTGATCCACCCGCCTCAGCCTCCCAAAGTGTTGAGATTACAGGCATGAGGCACTGCGCCCGGCCAGAAAACATATTTTACATAATCACTTAGACATATTCTTAGTGACAGATTATAAATCATTTTAAGTAAATTTTGTTCTTATCACATACATGAAAATAAATATATCCAAAGTGTAAAGCATTCAAGCAATATATAATAGAGTGAGATAAGAATTTCCACACAGCCCACACTTTCATTTCTAGAGGTAACTTGTAATCCTATCATTTATTCAATGTATTTAAATCCATATGCATGTGTATGTGCATTGGTATTCATTTTTAGCATGAATGGGATCATTTTTCTGATATTTCTAATCTCCCGAATTCCTAATAGCCTGCCATAACCGTCTGTTCTTTTATGGTTACAATCCTGGACATACTTTGGGGGATATCAGTTATACTTATTCTAATATCTGTTTGCTATTTAACAATTTTCTAGGGTGTTAAGGATTTTCTGTGTGAATTCATAGCCACTTTTTGGGGGGACTTGGGGGGAGGTGTTTCTTCACATACCTAGTAATCTTTGGTTGTGTTGAATCCTCAGACTTAAGATCCTCTGTTTGCTTGTCTGCTTTGCTGTTTATTTTTGCCCTGATTGTTTTTAGAGGTGTAATGAAGGGGCAGGGTATGCTACCTGGTGGGGGCACTGGAGGTTTGTCTTGGGCTGTGGGGACCCTGGTCTCTCCTGGGATTCAGTAGCTGCCAGGCTGTTTGACTCTAGTCCACATACTCATTGTGTTAGTCTGAGTATAGATGCTTCTGCAAATGCTGCTTCACACAGGGCTGATTGTAGGGTATTGATGAGGGGCCAGCTGGCTTAAATGGTCCATATGTAATTCCTCAGAGTGGGTTTCACTGGACCACCTGAATCAGTATCATGTGGGGAGTGCATTAAAAATGTGATTGCTTGGAGCCACCCCAGACATAAATATAGAACCAGATTATCTGTGGAAAAGGAGCCCAGAAATCTGGTCCTGAGGCTGAGTCTGTGGGAGAGGCCATACTGTAATATAGAATTTTAGCAAGCTACCCATGATTCTTATGTAGATTGGAGTGTGACAACCACTATTTCAATGATTCACCAGGTCTCACTCCCTTCTCTGTGTTTTAATTAATTCCGAGGAAGGTCCTGTCTATCCCATGCCCACCAGCATCACCACTCAATTGCTCTTCACCTGGGTTATTCCTCAGTAGAGTTTACCCTTTCTACTATCCTTTCTATGTATTACCTTTCAGGAATTCCTAGAAATTTCTCACCATAAATGACAGTCTTTCTTTTAAGGCTTATTTATCTATCTTTATCCTGGAAGTTACTGTATAATTGCAGAAATGCTGATGATGTTTTATCAGTTTACAAAACTGATGTTTCCTATACATACAAGACCTTCTTAAAAATTAAAAAATGGGCATAATGCCCATTTTTAGAAATGTGAATTAGGAAGGATAGAGCCACTTAAGTGGCTTCAGGTGCTGGAGACCTTTCTCTATGCTACCTGTCTCTAGCTCTTCCATCTATCTATCTATCTATCTATCTATCTATCTATCTATCTATCTATCTATCTACACACACACACACACATATTCATATATATATGAAAGTAATAAAAGTATATTTTATATCCATATATGTTTAAAAGCAATAGAACTAGATTTTATAGTCTTCATATTTTTCATTATTTCAGGGAGGTGTTCCCTTAATTAATCTAGATATTATAGTACTTAAAAATAAAATTTGTAGAAAATTTCATCAAGCTCTCAGAGCATCATTAAAGCTCTACCTCTTTAGCAAACGCTACTGGTTACCTTCTGAACATTCACTACAGCTTATTTCCTGCCCATCAGAGTTCCAATTATTATTTGTTCTAAGGATAAATCTTGCTTGGTCTAAGGTAATTGTAGCAGCCCTGTTCCCCTTGCCAGTGGTTCACTTAGGAGAGGATATGTAAAGGGTTCTAGACAAGGAAATATAAGGAGAATGCTGTTTGGTGGCATCTGATAATTCTTTTTTCTCACTTCTAAAAAGACACTAGAAAACCATCCCTTCCTGCCTGCAGGCACCATATCCAAATGAGGCCTCTAGAGTGGAGGAACTGCAGCCATCTTGCGATTATAGGGACCTGACTTAGCTTTGGGTTGAAGCCAGTGCTGAGGGCAGCAGGATGGAGACAGAAAGAACATCAAGATCCTTGGGGATATTGCTGAGACTCTTATCAACTAAAACTGACATTATCCTACCTCTGTTACTTGCAGCCCAAAGCATTCTGATAAAATCTCTATTTTTAAATACATAACAACGTTCTTTTAAACCTTGGAAAATATTTTCTTAAAAATCTTGGAAAAAGAACCCCAGTTTCACCCATTTATAAATTGCTTCTTCCTTTTATTGTCAAAATTCACAAAACTTATATCCAAATATTTAAAAATCTTTAAACAACACAAAGAATTAACTTACAGGTGACAAACATTCCTATTCCCAGCCCCCACAAAGAATAAGGATTAAAAATGGAAGAAACCTGATTTCATAGCATATTCCAATTTCTGGAAGTCCAAAGAGGTTTGAGTGTGCACAGGAAATCTTGAGTTTACTAACAAATTGTATTAATATATCAAATTTTTTGAATGAACTGTTTTGACTTCAAACTTATCATTACAAAAATGGCGAAGCCACACATTTGACTCTAGCCTCACCTCCTGACCTCTGAGCAACCTGAGGCTTTAAGCAGTCCCAGGCTTTGATCCTAAATGCCCATACTCCTCAACTTAATCCTAGCAGTAAAGGAGAGTAGATAGAGTATAGATGGAAGAGCTAGAGACAGGTAGCATAGAGAAAGGTCTCCAGCACTTGGAGCCATTTAAGTGGCTCTATCTTTCCTAATTCGCATTTCTAAAAATGGGCATCATCTCCATTTTTTAATTGTTAAGAAGGTCTTGTACGTGTAGGAAACATTAGTTTTATAAACTGATAAAACATCATCAGCATTTCTGCAATTATACAGTAACTTCCTACAGATAATTAGTTTGATGGACTTTAGTGGTGTATTTCTCCCTGCATCTCCAGTCTACCCTGACTCTCACCATTTCTCAGCACAAGTTATGTTAAAATTATAATAAACAAAAATACCACAAAGCATGTGTTAATATTAAATGGGCAGGCTCCATGCACAGTCATTCATTGCTTTACAACAGGGGTACATTCCAAGAAATGTGTCATTACGCAATTTTGTCATTGTGTGAACATCCTTGAGTGTACACAAACCAAGATGGAATAACCTACTACACACGTAGGCTATACGATATAGCCTATTGTTCCTAGGCTACAAACCTATACAGAATGCTAATGTATTGAATAGTGTAGGTAATTGTAACACAATGGTAAGTATTTGCATATCTAAACATATCTGACCATAGAAAAGGTACAGTAAATATACGGTATTATAATCTTATAGGACCATCTTTGTATACATGGTCTGTCACTGACCAAAATGTCATTATGCAGAACATGAATATACACAGAATTCTGTGCCAACTTATTCTGTAAAATATCAATTCATGTCACTACCAGTAAGTTTATTCCTTTTCTTCACTATGCTCATTTCTATGTTAAGCTTCTTTCCTAACTTTCTAAGACTCCACTATATATGCTAAGTCTTGGTATGCCCACAAATTCCCTCTTAGCTTAGTTGTGTGCTAACACCACCTCCCTATGCCTAGACTGTGCCCTCTTCACTCCAAGAAGCAATCATCACACAGTAGCTGGGGCCTGACTAGACTGCTTTCCACAAGAGATATCCACATGGCCAAACCCCTCCTTGATGTTATTAGAGGGACAGCAACAACGATTTTTTTTTTTCTAGCAACCATCACCTTGTTTCTTTTCATGATTTAAAACAATCTCCCAAAAAGTTACTTCCTGGGCCTAGGGGGTCTTCTAAGGACCCCCGTCCACCAATTCCTTCAACCCCAGCCATCTACACAGACACCTGAACTACTATACTTACTGTACTATTAACCACAGTGTTATAAAGTATGAATATTTTATTTTCCTTTTCAGAAACAAACTATTTTGTTACAAATAATCCAAGTATACATTAATTTGATAGGGTATTTTTGGTATTTGTTCCTTCTTGTGTTCAGTATTTTATTAAACACATTGATTTTAGGAGTAGTTCATGGTCAACACAAACATTTGGTTGCTAAGCATTCTAAATATTTATGTTTTTATGAGGTTCATCCTCCTAAAATATAGGAACTGAAAATCATATATATCATAAAGTAAAAGAATCTACTTACTTTTCAAAGATTATATACATACTATTTTAGTATTATAATTATAGATATACTATGTTTATGCTATAATTTTTGAAATTTCTGAAATAAAAGTAATTTTTACTTATTTATTCATTTTGAGACAGGGTCTCACTCTGTCGCCCAGGCTGGAGTGTAGTGGCATGATCATGGTTCACTGTAGCTTCAACTTTCTAGGCTTAGGTGATCTTCCCAGTTCAGCCTCCCGAGTAGCTGGGACTACAGGAGTGTGCCAACACGCATGGATAATTTTTGTATTTTTTTGTGGAGACAAAGTTTCTCCGTGTTGCCCAGGCTGAAAATTAATTTTTAAAAGAAATAGTGTTCTTGATTTTACATCATTTTCTTATCACGTGTTTTCCAATATTTCTTTCTCACTTATATCAAGCATAAGTACTTCAGCATTTCAAAGCTACTCAACTCTCTCTTTGAAGCTAAAATTAGTAATTTTGAGATACAAGTTCAATATTGTTTCTTGTGGAGAGATAATAAAGAAACAAAGATAAGAAAAAAGTTCAAAGACTATTTCACATTAAGTTACTGCATTTGAACTATCAGGGAAAGCTTTAATATATGGATAAGTAAGTTTCTTATTGAGAGAAAGAAATCCTCCATGTATTTAAAAATATTTACAGGTTCTTCAATATATAATCTAGGCCAGTAAAGTGGGCAAGAAAAGCAGCAGTAAACTATTACCCACACCAGTAAATCACTGCCAAAAGAATCACAGAGAACACACCAGGGTCTTTATAATTCTTGTCATTTCTTCCTAATTCTTGCCATTTTGTAACACATCTACAGAGCACTGTTATAAGTTGTTTAATATTCTCCATCTTACATAAGCATTTCTTTATAGTTGTCCATCTCTGTCACCGCCTTCTGAAGTTTTAATCCAAGTGCCTCTACTAGACATTGTAAATCTGAAATGACACAATGTATTTCATCTGATTAGTACATTTTAAGTGTCCAGATATTTTCATAGAGTAAACCATATTCTTTTGTTGCTAGTCAGCTCCTGAAGAATAAGGCAGCTGCTTATTCCACTTTGCCTGTATGTCCATATGCAACTTATCATTGCCTACTCAGCCCTCCCTATCCTAACACCCCACAGACTTAATGGGTTTTGACAGGCCCAATTTGTTGGCCTCTTTCTGCCCCCACCACCATGCTGATTTTCAAACAGCTAATAGGCTAAATTTTACTAATGTTTTCAAAGGAAATGTATGTAGCTGACAAACATAAGAATTTCTGATCACGTGTCTTGTTTCTAAAACACATGATTGCCTGAGCTCACTTTTGTGGTCTGGAACTGTGAAGCATGGCTGAGTCTTCCTGCTAGAACTAAAACAGACAAATCATGTTCCAGGCTCATAGTAAAGAACGTGTTAACTCTGGGTAGCATCTAAAAGGCATTTTAGTGACTTTCAAAACCAAGAGAATACAAGCAGGAAACTGGCTTCCATAGAGTCTTTAACTGGAGAATGTAAGCAGTATTTGAGGATTATTATTCAAGCAGCCCTGTCTAACAAGTGTGTGAATGCAGAACTGAAACCATAGCAGAAAGAACAAATGGCTTGAATTATCTAAGTCCTTCCATTGTCCTGTGTGTGGAAACTGTGATCTGAACCCCAGCCCCAGTGACAGCCCTTGCTGGTACGCTTTTTGAGAATAAGTTATAATGGAAAACAAACTGATAGACTGGTTGGTGTCTCCAGAAAAAAAATGTTCAAAACACTGGAGTTGTAAAATTTCTATGTTCCATCTGTTCAGGTGTTTCAGTGACATATTTTAATAGTAAACTTTAAAATCTTTATGCATCCATATAAATACATAAAACTATATAAATCGGCATTCTTAACTTTATTTTACAAAGAGTTAGTTCCTTAAATTAGAAAATAAATTCACTCTAAACAAATGTTTTAATTAGCATTTACCAGACATTTGTATAAACCTTTGTTTATCCAGTGCTTTTACATACATTAATTTTTGTTTCTTAGTTTACATGTTTTCTTGTTCTTATTACATTAACTTTATCTATCTCTAAGAATAGTTTGCTTAGCATCTCTAAAAAAAGTTCTCATTTTTTAGGTCACCCATGGTAAGGAGAGGGAGGATTAGAGAGTACCTGCTACTGACCATATGGAAGTTTTGGATGATATAAATTCAGAGGATCAGACCAGCTGAATCAAAATTAAAATGTACATGTAAAAAGTGTGATAGATAATGGTGGGAGTATAGAGAAAGAGCCAGGTGAGTAGGGAGTCATGTTGAGGTGGGAGACAAAGGCATTCAGACTAGCATGTGGCGTTTCCTGTAGAAGGCAAGATGGTCAGAACAGAAGCTGTGGTTACAGTCCAGGCACCAAAAAGATTTGACTCCAGTATGTTTTCAGAAATGTCTTATTTATCAGACAGAGCAAACTTCCATATGCATCCATCCCATGTACATTTGTAGGGTTTATCTCCTGTGTGTGTTCTTCTGTATGATTTCACGTGGAAACTTTTAGTGTATACTTTGTTGCATATGTCATAATCACATCTGTGTATCCTCTGCTTCCTTTGAGTTATCCACCAATTCCATCAGTAAAGGTCTCTTCCCAGGCTGCACTATGACCTAAGGGAGATTCTCTTGCAACAATGCTTGTTGCAAGGGGTGGGCACTGAGTTCATTAAGGGGGGGTGACATTTCTTCAGGATAATAATCTGTCCTCTGTTGTTTGATCACAGGTTCAATTTTTTTTCCTATGCTATAGGCTTCTTATATGATTCAATTACAGGTACTTGCATGCTACTATTTGAATTCTCCATTTCCTCCAACAAGGAAACAATGAGAGGCTGCTGGAGGTAACTCATTTACATAAAGGGGACAGACCATACCACCACCAGGCAGGATCCCTAGGCTCTGTATTCTGTGCCAGGAGAAGGCAGCTGCCATCACCGGTGGCATGGAGAGTGGCACGCCAAAGGGCTGCATGCCCAGAGAAGAGAGTGAGTATTTTTCATCATGGGCTGGAAGAAGGCATGCTCAGCTCTGGAGAGGCTCTCCAGTTCAAGGATGGGAACTTCAGAGAGGAAGAATTCCCAGCCAAACGGGTGAACTCCACTTGTTTACTGTGAGGTCCACTGGCTCCATCTGTATTCCATGCAATAAGCCTTCCCGGGTCTGAAAAAACTTATTAGGTAATGGTGTAGAGTAGATGACCCATACTTGTTAGGTTTTATTGATTTCATATAATTTCATGTATAGTCACAACTACCAAGAAAACTCTAAGGATTAGAGTAATTAACTTATCAAGGTCACTCAGCTAGTTAGATCCTATAATTCAAACTCAGGTCTGCCTGATCCTAAAGTTCTTATATCTCTCACACTTGAAATATAAACTCTTGAGATATAAAAGCTGCAAGAGAATATGATATTGTCCATAAGAGTGTGGTAAGTGTGGCTACAAATCTGTTACCATATTCCCAGAATCCTTAAAGAGGTATACTTAAGACAAATGAAAAGAATTACTTAACAATGAAATATGCAGTAAACTGGTAGAATTTCTAACTCCAAAAGGTGGTTTAGATTTTAGTTTTAGAAAGCTTAAATATATATTATAGTTAATAAAAATATTAATAAAATTATGGTGTTACTGTGACTGATTCCATGAGAAGATTTCATCAGAGAGAACAATCACACCTTACTATTAAATGGCCCCTGGTGCTTTTGTCAGGATATGATCCTAAACTAGATGAAGCATAGGTCTGAGCCCATATGATAAATTTTATGTTATTACTTCTAAATGCAGCTATAAATTAAAAGGAAGACTTATCTTAAAATGAACTTCAAAGAACTGGTACTTGATATGTAATTTTATGCAGTTAATTCTCAATTACCTGAGAATTAGTAGAATAATAGACAGTAAAAATGGCAGCTAATTCAAAGCTTTGCTCTTCTGAATGAAATATAAACATCCTACTAGTTCACTATAGGTTCTGGTAGACTAGTCTGGTCCTTTTGTTTTTAGAAGCAGAGTGCCCAGTTCCTGTCCTTAATAAATAAAGAAACACCATTAGGATAAGCTGCAGAGAGATTAAGCCACCTGCACAAAACAGCTCCTTCAGTTTCTGAGGCAAGGAGTTGTTAAATAAGTGTATTATTGTTCTGCCCAGTCCTTCTCTATAGTTAAAGAAATTCGACTTTAATTTTCTGTCACTCAGCATGACATTGGATTATGAGGAACAAGGCCCTAAATGCCTACAAAAATAAAGGAAGCATTGGCTTTAAACACCATGCAGATGTAAGGCAGAACCCATGGAAACAATAAAAAATTTACAACAGTAAATTCTACTATGATGTGACTGTGTTCTTTGCAGATATTAAATAAGAAGTAAATGATTTTAAATGAACAAGACAGAAAGAGTTCTTAACCTCTCTTCATATGAAGCCAGCTGTTTGCTGGATAGCATTACACAGGCATCAGATTTGGGATAATCAGTCATTTAAGAGAATCCTGCTATCCCTACAGGTTTCTAGAAACTACAAATATAAAAGGTATTCATAATTAGCTATTTTATAGGCTGATATAAAACTTCATAGTCACTTGGAGGGCACATTAAGTTAGTATAATGTTTGAGAAAACAGTAACTAAAACCTATATAGTGGAAAGTTATTTCAAGCTTAAAACTTACTGGATAAAGGAAACGCAAAACATTTAAAAATCTGGTTCAAAGTGCTATGTGGAGGAAAATGATTCCAGGTTAAAGTAGCATAATGGAAGAACAAGCAGGCAGATGAACTGGCACCCAGAGATCAGGGAAATTTTTTTTTTAATGTAAAATAGAAGGCTGTACTTTTTTATTGTATAGGTAATTGAAGACAAGGAAAAACAAGAACTCAACACTTGTCTGTGACAGGATAGTTTAAAGGTGTCATGCAGGAGCTCTTTAGAGTGCCAGACTGCCTAATTTCAAATCCTGGCTCTGCTTCCTGTTAACTGTTAACTCCAGTTTCATTATCTGTAAAATAGTCACTATCATACAGGACTGTTCTGATAATTAAATTACTTAATGTATGTAAAGAAGGGGAATAGTTGCAGGCACATTGGGAGTAACACGCACATGTTAGCTATTATCATTGGTGGTGGCATGAAGGCTACTCTTCCACTTCTGCCCTGAATCTCATCACTTCTCACCTTGAGGATATGCTGTTTTTGCACTTGGACCTGGTGTCACCAGTAGCTATCTTTGTATGGGGAGGAGTAAAAATGGAAGTGTTAATTGTCTTTTTCTTCTTTAACAATCTATAGTGCAACTATGGCAAAATTTTAAAACTTGTTAACTATGGATGATGGGAACACATACATGTTGTATTATTCTATTTTTCTGTTAGAAAAATTTATAGGTATATTAATTAGAGGGGGGCGTTGCTGGCACGGGTCAAGGATGATAGCATGTTTTGTACTACAGAGTCTAATCAACTCTGTTCTATGTGCCCAAGGTACAAAAGAAAACAAACAAAAAAGGGCAAGAAAGCTTTTTGGAGGGTAGTGGGGAGGAGATAATGTTTGAAACAGCAATTAAAGACACCCCATTTGATTCCATGAATAGGGAGCAGAAAAACTGAATTGCAGCTGGAGGTGAATATGGTAACAAGGAGCGTTGTCAGTTTTGTTTCGTTTTTAATATGGGTGAAACTGAGATGTTCATTTTCATTTGGGAATGATCCATTCTAGAGAGCATTTATGCTTGTGAATTTAATGTATACCTTCTAACCTGCATCTTAACATGTGAAAAAATTATTCGTTTTGAAGGTGTTTTAAAAATTACACAAATCAAGTTAAACTACAAGTCTCATTTTGACTCTTATTCTTTTTAGTCAATATTATGTTTTTTGAGACCTATCCATGTAGCTACATGTAGATATGATTCACTCTGCTCTGACTGATACATAATATTTCATCATGTGCACATACCACATTTTACTTATCCAGTACCATAGTGATAGAACCTAGGTTACCTGAAACCTTGTCACCATAAATAATCCTACAATGAAAGTTTTTTACCCATCTTGTTGTGTACTTATAGGACAATTTGTCTGCAGTATGTCTCCAGGGCGGTATTAGGTATTAAGTATGAGATCATAGGAATACACATAAATACTGCCAAATGGTTCCCAAAATGGAGGCACTAGCTTACATTCCTACTTCACTGAATAAAGGCTCCTGCTTTATAACATTTATTAGAAGCAGCTAATATTCATTAGAAACAGCTATTTTTCTAATTTTTGCCAATATGAAGAATACAAAGTAGTGTCTCTGGTTTAACTTGCAGTTCTCTGCTTCCTTTTGGAGCTGAGCACCTCACCTTATACTTCTTGGCCATTCATGACTCTCCTTTTATGATTTGCCTTTTCCTCAGTCTCTTTTCTATCCATTCCAATTGAGCTTTCTTTTTCACTCCTCCACAGAAACAGCTCTTTTCAAGGTGATGAATGATGGTCTATATTGGCAATTTCAAAATTTAATTCTCTGTTCTTATCGAATTCAAATATTACGCAGCATGTGACCCAGTTATTTTCTCTCTCTTGGCAATATTCTGGCTATCTTCTCAGGTTCTGTTGATTATTCTTAATCTTAGATTCACTCTAAATGCTGGGAAGCACAAGGAGCTCAGCCCCTAGCCCTTTTCTCTAGCTGCATTATCTCCCAAGATAATTTCATCTAGTTTCATGGCTTCGAATAGCATCTATATATGGGTGTCTTCCATCATCATCATCATAGCTAATAAATGTGGAATACTTACTATGTACCAGGTACTATACCCTAAGTGCTTTACACTCATTGAATCATTTCAATGTAAACTTACTAGAATGTAAGTTTCATGAGAACAGGAACCTTATCTGTTATAGTGCTTGAGACATGGAAGTTGATTAAAAAATAATCACTGAAAGAATGAATAAAACTTCGCAGACTTTAGAAATAAGAGTGCCTGCAAATATGTTTAGAATTAAGTGCCTAAGATTAAAATACAGTACATGAAACAAAAAATAGTTCTGCAGTTTTCATTGATATTATCTGGTATGTGTCTTGGCATTAAAATGTAACTTTCTTATTTGTTATTTTATTTCAATAGACACTTATTAAACACCTACTCTATTTGTAGCTAGGTTTCACACTAGTTAGATTCAGTGTACAAATATCATTAAGATATATTTATTTGTCCTTATATAAATAACAAGTGCCTCATTTGGCCTTGGTGAATGAAAAATTAATCTTTTAAATAACAAATTAATAACTCATTTAAACTAACACCTGTCTTATTTTTTCACTATTTTAAATTATTTTATTTTTCACTATTTTAAATTATTTTACTCACTGTTTAAATTATTTAAATTAAGTTTATTTAAATTATTTTATTAAAATATAATATTATTTTATCTGCTTAGATTCAGTGTACAAATATCATTAAGATATATTTGTCCTTATATATATTACATATAAATTTGTCCTTATATAAATTACAATCAAGTGTCTCATTTGGCCTCGGTGAATGATATATTAATCTTTTAAATAACAAATTAATAACTCATTTAAACTAAAATCTGTTTTATTTTTTCACTATTTATTTATTTATTTTTATTATACTTTAAGTTTTAGGGTACATGTGCACAACGTGCAGGTTAGTTACATGTGTATACATGTGCCATGTTGGTGTGCTGCACCCATTAACTCGTCATTTAACATTAGGTATATCTCCTAATGCTATCCCTCCCCCCTCCTCCGACCCCATAACAGGCCCCCGTGTGTGTGATGTTCCCCTTCCTGTGTCCATGTATTCTCATTGTTCAATTCCCACCTATAAGTGAGAACATGCGGTGTTTGGTTTTTTGTCCTTGTGATAGTTTGCTGAGAATGATGGTTTCCAGCTTCATCCATGTACCTACAAAGGACATGAACTCATCCTTTTTTATGGCTGCATAGTATTCCATGGTGTATATGTGCCATATTTTCTTAATCCAGTCTATAATAGTTGGACATTTGGCTTGGTTCCAAGTCTTTGCTATTGTGAATAGTGCCGCAATAAACATACATGTGCATGTATCTTTATAGCAGCATGATTTATAATCCTTTCAGTATGTACCCAGTAATGGCATTGCTGGGTCAAATGGTATTTCTAGTTCTAGATCCCTGAGGAATAGCCACACTGACTTCCACAATGGTTGAACTAGTTTACACTCCCACCAACAGTGTAAAAGTGTTGCTATTTCTCTACATCCTCTCCAGCACCTGTTGTTTCCTGACTTTTTAATGATTGCCATTCTAACTGGTGTGAGATGGTATCTCATTGTGGTTTTGATTTGCATTTCTCTGATGGCCAGTGATGATGAGCATTTTTTCACGTGTCTTTTGGCTGCATAAATGTCTTCTTTTGAGAAGTGTCTGTTCATATCCTTCGCCCACTTTTTGATGGGGTTGTTTGTTTTTTTCTTGTAAATTTGTTTGAGTTCTTTGTAGATTCTGGATATTAGCCCTTTGTCAGATGAGTAGATTGCAAAAATTTTCTCCCATTTTGTAGGTTGCCTGTTCACTCTGATGGTAGTTTCTTTTGCTGTGCAGAAGCTCTTTAGTTCAATTAGATCCCATTTGTCAATTTTGCCTTTTGTTGTCATTGCTTTTGGTGTTTTAGACATGAAGTCCTTGCCCATGCCTATGTCCTGAATTGTATTGCCTAGGTTTTCTTCTAGGGTTTTTATGGTTTCAGGTCCAACATTTAAGTCTTTAATCCATCTTGAATTAATTTTTGTATAAGGTGTAAGGAAGGGATCCAGTTTCAGCTTTCTACATATGGCTAGCCAGTTTTCCCAGCACCATTTATTAAATAGGGAATCCTTTCCCCATTTCTTGTTTTTGTCAGGTTTGTCAAAGATCAGATGGTCGTAGACATGCGGCGTTATTTCTGAGGGCTCTCTTCTGTTCCATTAGTCTATGTCTCTATTTCAGTACCAGTACCATGCTGTTTTGTTTACTGTAGCCTTGTAGTATAGTTTGAAGTCAGGTAGCGTGATGCCTCCAGCTTTGTTCTTTTGGCTTAGGATTGACTTGGCGATGCGGGCTCTTTTTTGGTTCCATATGAACTTTAAAGTAGTTTTTTCCAATTCTGTGAAGAAAGTCATTGGTAGCTTGATGGGGATGGCATTGAATCTATAGATTACCTTGGGCAGTATGGCCATTTTCATGACATTGATTCTTCCTACCCATGAGCATGGAATGTTCTTCCATTTGTTTGTATCCTCTTTTATTTCCTTGAGCAGTGGTTTGTAATTCTCCTTGAAGAGGTCCTTCACATCCCTTGTAAGTTGGATTCCTAGGTATTTTATTCTCTTTGAAGCAATTGTGAATGGGAGTTCACTTATGATTTGGCTCTCTGTCTGTTATTGGTGTATAAGAATGCTTGTGATTTTTGCACATTGATTTTGTATCCTGAGACTTTGCTGAAGTTGCCTATCAGCTTAAGGAGATTTTGGGCTGAGACAATGGGGTTTTCTAGATACACAATCATGTCATCTGCAAACACGGACAATTTGACTTCCTCTTTTCCCAACTAGATCCCTTCCTTACACCTTATACAAAAATCAATTCAAGATGGATTAAAGACTTAAACGTTAGACCTAAAACCATAAAAACCCTAGAAGAAAACCTAGGCATTACCATTCAGGACATAGGCATGGGCAAGGACTTCATGTCCAAAACACCAAAAGCAATGGCAACAAAAGACAAAATTGACAAATGGGATCTAATTAAACTAAAGAGCTCTTTTCCTAATTGAATACCCTTTATTTCCTTCTCCAGCCTGATTGCCCTGGCCAGAACTTCCATCATTATGTTGAATAGGAGTGGTGAGAGAGGGCATCCCTGTCTTGTGCCAGTTTTCAAAGGGAATGCTTCCAGTTTTTGCCCATTCAGCATGATATTGGCTGTGGGTTTGTCATAGATAGCTCTTATTATTTTGAGATATGTCCCATCAATACCTAATTTATTGAGAGTTTTTAGCATGAAGGTTGTTGAATTTTGTCAAATGCCTTTTCTGCATCTATTGAGATAATCATATGGTTTTTGTCATTGGTTCTGTTTATATGCTGGATTATGTTTATTGATTTGCATATGTTGAACCAGCCTTGCATCCCAGGGATGAAGCCCACTTGATCATGGTGGATATGCTTTTTGATGTGCTGCTGGATATGGTTTGCCAGTATTTTACTGAGGATTTTTGCATTGATGTTCATCAGGGATATTGGTCGAAAATTCTCTTTTTTTGTTGTGTCTCTGCCAGGCTTTGGTATCAGGATGATGCTGGCCTCATAAAATGAGTTAGGGAGGATTCCCTCTTTTGCTATTGATTGGAATAGTTTCAGAAGGAATGGTACCAGCTCCTCCTTGTACCTCTGGTAGAATTCGGCTGTGAATCCATCTGGTCCTGGACTTTTTTTGGTTGGTAAGCTATTCATTATTGCCCCAATTTCAGAGCCTGTTATTGGTCTATTCAGAGATTCAATTTCTTCCTGGTTTAGTCTTGGGAGGGTGTATGTGTTGAGGAATTTATCCATTTCTTCTAGATTTTATAGTTTATTTGCATAGAGGTGTTTATAGTATTCTCTGATGGTGGTTTGTATTTCTGTGGGATCAGTGGTGATATCTCCTTTACCATTTTTTATTGCGTCTATTTGATTCTTGTCTCTTTTCTTCTTTATTAGTCTTGCTAGGGGTCTATCAATTTTGTTGATCTTTTCAAAAAACCAGCTCCTGGATTCATTGATTTTTTGAAGGGTTTTTTGTGTCTCTACTTCCTTCAGTTCTGCTCTCATCTATTTCTTGCCTTCTGCTAGCTTTTGAATGTGTCTGCTCTTGCTTCTCTAGTTCTTTTAATTGTGATGTTAGGGTGTCAATTTTAGATCTTTCTTGCTTTCTCTTGTGGGCATTTAGTGCTATAAATTTCCCTCTACACACTGCTTTGAATGTGTCCCAGAGATTCTGGTATGTTGTGTCTTTGTTCTCGTTGGTTTCAAAGAACATCTTTATTTCTGCCTTCATTTCATTATGTACCCAGTAGTCATTCAGGAGCAGGTTGTTCAGTTTCCATATAGTTGAGCAGTTTTGAGTGAGTTTCTTAATCCTGAGTTCTAGTTTGATTGCACTGTGGTCTGAAAGGCAGTTTGTTATAATTTCTGTTCTTGTACATTTGCTGAGGAGTGCTTTACTTCCAACTATGTGGTCAATTTTGGAATAAGTGCAGTGTGGTGCTGACTGAGAAGAATGTATATTCTGTTGATTTGGGGTGGAGAGTTCTGTAGATGTCTATTAGGTCTGCTTGGTGAAGAGCTGAGTTCAATTCCTGGATATCCTTGTTAACTTTCTGTCTCATTGATCTGTCTAATGTTGACAGTGGGGTGTTAAAATCTCCCATTATTATTGTGGGGGAGTCTAAGTCTCTTTCTAGGTCTCTAAGGACTTGCTTTATGAATCTTGGTGCTCCTGTATTGGGTGCATATATATTTAGGATAGTTAGCTCTTCTTGTTGAATTGATCCCTTTACCATTATGTAATGGCCTTGTCTCTTTTGATCTTTGTTGGTTTAAAGTTTGTTTTATCAGAGACTAGGATTGCAACTCCTGCCTTCTTTTGTTTTCCATTTGCTTGGTAGATCTTCCTCCATCCCTTTATTTTGAGCCTATGTGTGTCTCTGCATGTGAGATGGGTTTCCTGAATACAGCACACTGATGGGTCTTGACTCTTGATCCAATTTGCCAGTCTGTGTCTTTTAATTGGAACATTTAGTCCATTTACATTTAAGGTTAATATTGTTTTGTGTGAAATTGATCCTGTCATTATGATGTTAGCTGGTTATTTTGCTCGTTAGTTGATGCAGTTTCTTCCTAGCCTCGATGGTCTTTACAATTTGTCATGTTTTTGCAGCGGCTGGTACTGGTTGTTCCTTTCCATGTTTAGTGCTTCCTTCAGGAGCTCTTTTAGGGCAGGCCTGGTGGTGACAAAATCTCTCAGCATTTGCTTGTCTGTAAAGGATTTTATTTCTCCTTCACTTATGAAGCTTAGTTTGGCTGGATATGAAATTCTGGATTGAAAATTCTTTTCTTTAAGAATGTTGAATATTGGCCCCGCCTCTCTTCTGGCTTGTAGAGTTTCTGCTGAGAGATCTGCTGTTAGTCTAATGGGCTTCCCTTTGTGGGTAACCCGACCTTTCTCTCTGGCTGCCCTTAACATTTTTTCCTTCATTTCAATTTTGGTGAATCTGACAATTATGTGTCTTGGAGTTGCTCTTCTCGAGGAGTATCTTTGTGGCATTCTCTGTATCTCCTGAATTTGAATGTTGGCCTGCTTTGCTAGATTGGGGAAGTTCTCCTGGATAATATCCTGCAGAGTGTTTTCCAACTTGGTTCCATTCTCCCCATCACTTTCAGGTACACCAATCAGATGTAGATTTGGTCTTTTCACATAGTCCCATATTTCTTGGAGGCTTTGTTCATTTCTTTTTATTCTTTTTTCTCTAAACTTCTCTTCTTGCTTCATTTCATTCATTTGATCTTCCATCACTGATACCCTTTCTTCCAGTTGATCAAATCGGCTAATGAGGCTTGTGCATTCATCACATAGTTCTCGTGCCTTGATTTTCAGCTCCATCAGGTCCTTTAAGGACTTCTCTGCACTGGTTATTCTAGTTATCCATTCGTCTAATTTTTTTTCAAGGTTTTTAACTTCTTTGCCATGGGTTCGAACTTCCTCCTTTAGCTCAGAGTAGTTTGATCGTCTGAAGCCTTCTCTCAACTTGTCAAAGTCATTCTCCATCCAGCTTTGTTCCGTTGCTGGTGAGGAGCTGCGTTCCTTTGGAGGAGGAGAGGTGTTCTGATTTCTAGAGTTTCCAGTTTTTCTGCTCTGTTTTTTCCCCATCTTTGTGGTTTTACCTACCTTTGGTCTTTGATGATGGTGACGTACAGATGGGGTTTGGGTGTGGATGTCCTTTCTGTTTGTTAGTTTTCCTTCTAACAGTCAGGACCCTCAGCTGCAGGTCTGTTGGAGTTTGCTGGAGGTCCACTCCAGACCCTGTTTGCCTGGGTATCAGCAGCGGAGGCTGCAGAACAGCATATATTTGTGGGCAGCAAATGTTGCTGCCTGATCGTTCCTCTGGAAGTTTTGTCTCAGACGAGTACCTGGCTGTGTGAGGTGTCAGTCTGCCCCTACTGGGGGGTGCCTCCCAGTTAGGCTACTTGGAGGTCAGGGACCCACTTGAGGAGGCAGTCTGTCCATTCTCAGATCTCCAGCTGCGTGCTGGGAGAACCACTACTCTCTTCAGAGCTGTTGGACAGGGACATTCAAGTCTGCAGAGGATTCTGATGCCTTTTGTTTGGCTATGCCCTGCCCCCAGAGGTGGAGTCTACGGAGGCAGGCAGGCCTCCTTGAGCTGCGGTGGGCTTCACTCAGTTTGAGCTTCCTGGCTGCTTTGTTTACCTACTCAAGCCTCGGCAATGGCAGGCACCCCTCCCCCAGCCTCACTGCCACCTTGCAGTTTGATCTCAGACTGCTGTGCTAGCAATGAGCGAGGCTCCATGGGCGCAGGACCCTCCACGCCCGGTGCGGGATATAATCTCCTGATGTGTCATTTGCTAAGATCATTGGAAAAGCGCAGTATTAGGGTGGAAGTGACACGATTTTCCAGGTGCTGTCTGTCACCCCTTTCTTTTACTAGGAAAGGGAATTCCCTGACTCCTTGCACTTCCCGGGTGAGGCGATGCCTCACCCTGCTTCAGCTCACACTCGGTGTGCTGCACCCACTGTCCTGCACCCAATTTCCAACACTCCCCAGTGAGATGAACCCAGTACCTCAGTTGGAAATGCAGAAATCACCCGTCTTCTGCGTCACTCATGCTGGGAGCTGTGGACTGGAGCTGTTCCTATTCGGCCATCTTGGCTCCACCCCCATCACTATTTATTTTATTTATTTATCTGTTTTATTTTTTCACTATTTTAAATTATTTATTTAGTTACATTAGTTAATTACATGGTTGAAATTGTGAGATTTCTAATAAAATATAACTGACCTGAATATACAAAATCAGTCTGCTGCATTAGATATAATTTATACATATATATTATCATATCACAGTTTGATGAGCTATTAGCCTTTTACAAAAGTAATATCTCATTTAAAATTTTTATAATGAGCATTCAGAGTAAACCCTTGCACATGCAAAAATATATACCAATAATAGAAGTAATTCTTTAATAAGTACTTAACTGTGTCAATATCAAATTAACATATTTTAACTTTAGCAAACATTTTTCAAAGCTCAAGTGGTAATACAAAACTCAAATGGTAATACAGCCACTTACATAATTCATTTCATTTTAGGGTTTATATTTTAGAGGTTTAATTTACATCTATTTGAAACAAGTGTTCTTGAAGTACATTTAACATTTCCTGCATTATCCTAGAAGGGACTAAAATAGTATGTGGAGATTTTATAAATCAGATGCTAGAATAAGTATGGATATATAATTAAAAAGATGCAATTCAATACAGATGTAGTTACATTAAAACCAGAAAATTATTTTGCTGTGTGTGGGGATAGAAGGGAAGAGTAGATTAAACCAAGCTAAGGAGATAATCAGAATATTTAAAATTTATAAATGAATTACATTCTAATATTAAGGACCAACACTTTCACTTCAGAATTGTTCATGCAAAAAATGCTTCTGTTTCTGCTGCGTTTTTTAATCTTAACATTAAAACAACCCAATATAACATGAAGATAATTGTAATTTATAGGGACTTATAAAATATGACAAATTATGAAAGGATAAGAAAGGAATTTTTAAATTCTAGTTTGTGTGTGTGTATATGTGTGTTTACCATGATTAAATTATTTAACCACTCTATCTAGACTGGCAAAATGAATATAATACTTTACCTATCACATAGGAAAAATACTGATGGATTTAGAAACTTTTCTGAATGTTTTAGAGCAGTATTTTGTTGTTCCAAATTTTGCATAAAATCACACAATCACATGTATTTATAAGTTATAATGAGATTTTTCAAAACCAGAAAATGGATACGGACAGCCTAGAGTAAACAAAGTAGGAAGGGACATGGACCTACAATGAAATGAACAGAATATTAGCTGAAAACATTTAGGGAATAAAGAAGAAAAGACGTAGGGTTAATAATAAAGTAAGTTAATAAATAAAAGAGAAGTTTAGGTCTAAAAATATTTAGGACATTTTCCAGTAGTGTTACATAACTACATAAACATCAACTTCTTTTAATGAATCAGTGTATTTCATAATCAGAGATCATGCTTACAGAGATTCCTGTACGCAGGGCTAATTCTGTGCAAAACTGAAGGAGATGGAGTGTATCTTCAGCCACCGAGTACTGACTCTTCTTTCTGAACACTTTTTCTCTGTGCTAGGATGGCAGTAAAATAGGCAAAAGACAAGGAGTTTTCTCCTTGTCTTCTAAAGAGTCTTTTCATGCTACAAAACTACTCTGAACTAACTGCACTCTTAAGAATTAATTCTACCACACAATTACATAATATAAAAGTAAAAAGCAACAAAACAACACAAATATGTTTTACAGTTTTAAGACTAAAGGAATTCTAAGGCAATACTCAGAGATATATAAAAATTTAATTATGAGGATGTTTATCATAATATTTTAATAAAAAAGAGTGAGAACAACTATCTAATAATAGGGTAGGATCAAATAAATTATGATTAATCCAAACAACAGAATACTATGAATATTTTTGACATGGAAGGATTTCATAATAAAGAAAATAGGAGGGGGGAAGGGTACGGATAATAAAACTCTTTTATCCTAATTTTATAAAACTATATATTCAAACAATAAAGTCTAGAAGGATTCACATCAAATGTTTATAATTCTATCTGAAAGTTGGAATTTCCTAATCAATAGTGAACATGTCTTATTTTGGTAAGGGAAAACAAAAAACCATCATATTAAAGTAGCCTAATACTAAACTATATAACATACTCATACCCATCTTATAACTCATCTTGCAAGCCATGGATGGTTCTTGTAAGCCATCATCAGGTATCCACTTTCCTCTAGACCTCTTCTGCCTTCCCCACATAAAAGCTTATGTTTACCATCAGCCAGGCTGGAAGTGGCCTGATACAGTAGCTCACTCTGAAGCATACATTAATGATAACAATGTATATGCTTTGGTGCTCCTAGGCAGTGGAAATCTGGTAGTAAAGTTCTGGAATCAGGTTCCAGTTCTGCTGATTAGTAGCTGTGTAGTCCTGGGCAAATGACTGAATTCCTCTAGGCCTTAGTAATTTCATTTGTAAACTGGAGATAATAAAAGTGCTTAACCCAGGAGGGTGATAGTAAGGGGGTACCTATGGCTGACATATGGCAAGTGGTATGTGAATGTCAGCTGCTATTTAGATTATAGTAGGAAATCTACCTGAACTCACAGGAATGATTTTTTTAATGATGTTAAGATAGTACCAGTGATTAGCTAGTAGTAGAGAGATGTTAGAGATGCTGCCAAGAGGTAAGAGACATTGGGCAAGAGGGTGGGAGTATGGGGAGAGATCATTAATTCCTCATTTAGACACTGTCACTATTATTCATATGCTGTCAGCCCATAAATGTGGATGAGCTGTAAATGTCTATGAGCAGCCGGTATGTTCTGTGCCTGGGTGAGTCCATGTGTAAAAGTGTCTGTGTGTGTAGGGAGGAGTGTGCCCACGTAGGTGTTAGGGAAGGAACAGATTAAAGCTCCTTTCTATTCACTGCTTAGCTGAGGTTTCCCTGAGGATGAATCATGCTTAGTATAGAAGCCGTGTATGACAGAGAAGACAGAACATCTATCATAGTTGTTCCTGATCAAGCCTAGTGTTAATCTTATGACAGGTGCCTAATAAATATTGCTGAATGACTAAATAAATTGGAAACTGGTATCTGAATGAGCAGAAGGAGACAACATTGGGATGGGATGATGTAGACACCTCAGGCTACAAGTATATATAATGGGAGAAAGAATGCAAGGGGCAAACTATCTGAGAGGGGTGAATTTAGGAAATCAGGCAAAGATCAGAAGCCATAGAATTTAAAAAATGAAGTCTAAAATTTATTCCCAAGGTCCTATGGTACAGTTAAAGAAAAGGCAAAGAGAGTGGTAGAGCTAAAGTCTAGCCTTAGAATAAGAAAATGATGTTGGAGGTAAAGAACAAGGAGAGAAGGTTGCAATGGCACAAATGAAAAATGACTAGAGAATGAACCAGAATTACAGCTATCTCAAAGGAGAGAAAGGAGTCTCAGATGAATGACAACCATTATAAGGAGTAGATGCCTATGATCATTATAGAAAATTCCTCTATGATTCAAACATTAATAAAATGGAGATGATACATAAAACAGTGGTAATCTTTAGATGAAAGTTCAATGTTGGGAGCAAATGAAAAGGCAAGAAAACAAAGATAATCTTAGACGACTCCAGTGATCAAAGATCACATGGCTTCCACAGGAGATCCCTTTATAAGACTCACATTTCAAATGGTGATCAGGTTCTAAAAAAGATTTCTTAGAATTTTAGTTAATACTGCCTGGCTTGCAATTTGTCTAGAGATCAGGCTAAACTTTTTGTCCATCTACTTTTGGACACAGAAGCAGCCCACAGTGGTTCATTATCAAGCTGGTCTCTTTTAAGGGCTGTTGGATTTAATACAACTAAAAATAATTACAAACTTCCTTGGTTTTCTGTTTGTAAAATCAGCACTTTCCCCTTTTATTTGAAGCCAAGGTCATATTATTCCAACTAAAGTCCAACAGTTCAAAAGGAATCATAAAGGCTGATCAAGTCACTACAGTGAGTGCTCTCTGAAAATCAGACCTTGCAGGTAAGGTCCTTGTGGATCTGTGTTCATAGATCTCTATCTGCCATACAGACGGATGACTCCTGAATTAAACATAGGCACTCTCTTCTTCAGTAACCTTTTCTAAGAGCAGGCAGACTACTGTTACAGCTAATCAGGGCTGACTAGAAAATAAACAAGTCGAGGTGAATACACCTTTGGGCAAAGAGAAATTAAAATGTATAGCTTTCTTCTGAAATTAAAGTAGTATTTAAAGAAATTTGAATGCTTGTATACTAAATATAATCATTTGGTTTGCTATCACATCAGGAAAGTTACTTTAAAATACATTTGAATATATAGTTCTTTAGATGATCTTACATTTTATCTTGCCTATTCTAATGTATTAAGGTAGGTAAGAAAAGCTACCATATTCCCAATTTACAGATGAAGTAACTGAGACATAGAAATTAATAACTTATTCAAAGGGCCTATACAAGGCCTAAACAGTACCAGAAAGCAGAACTGTTTGGATCCCAGCTCAGTATTTTTTCCAACTGAACCACATCACTCATTTTGTGACTTGAATCACAAGCACTAAACAAGCTACTAATTAAGGAATGCAGTACTTACATATGCTACAACATGGATGAAACTCACAAACATTATCCTAAGTGAAAGACGCCACACACAAAAGACCGCATATTGTATGGTTCTATTTGTATAAAATGTCCAGGATAGGTAAGTCTATAGAGATAGAAAGTAGGTTAAGGATTGTTGGAAAGGGGCAGGAGTGTAAGGGGAGTGGCTGTTGATGGCCACAAAGTTTCTTTTTGGTGTGAAAGAAATCTCCCAAAATTCGACTTTGCTGATGGTCACACAACTCTGCAAATATCCTAAAAACCACTGAATTGTACACTTAAAGTGGGTGAATTTTGTAATTTGTGAATTTTATCTCTGTAAAGCTGTTTTAAAAGATTCAATTAGGATGTTAAAATGTTATATGCAAAATCATTTTTTAAAGTATTTGTGTTATTTACTATACTGAACAGCTTACTAAAATTAAAAAGTCAAAAGTTTTTTCACTTGGAATAAATTTGAAAGTTGGTAAAATAAATTAAGGAAGGATATTAAAAATAAGCTGAATGCTGAAGTGACTTATTTGAACTCTGTCTTCCAATATTTGTGACTGCTGACAAAAAGTAAAGGACATTTTATTCTAGCAGGTGGAAGGAAAATCATTTAAGTAGACTGACTGTGGGTCACAATGACCTCTGAGAGGATTATATCAATTGAGATAAATTGTGCATTTTGGAAGTTATTAGTGTGAGCTAAACATAAAATTACAGAACTTAGGTAAATAAATCTTCAAAAGGAAACAAAAAATTTGGTCTTCAAATTTTTACTTCATATGTTGGCTTTTCTATGAAAAAATCAAATTTTGGCATTAAGAGTTAGGTTGCTATTGATAGCCCATTATTTACTCCTAAACCACTATTAAACTATATGCACCAGAATTAACACATGTATTTAAATTTTTGAGCATCTCTATTTCAAGACAGAAATAAAGGGAAAAAATGTGGGGAAAACAAAGTTAAAAGTTTTTCATGTAGAAAAGTAATGATCATAAAAACCGTATGCTTGGGCCAGGCATGGTGGCTCACGCCTGTAATCCCAGTACTTTGAGAGGCCTAGGAGGGCAGATCACCTGAAGTCAGGAGTTTGAGACCAGCCTGGCCAACATGGTGAAACCCCGTCTCTACTAAAAATACAAAAATTAGCCAGGCTTGGTGGCGCATGTCTGTAATCCCAGCTACTCCAGAGGCTGAGGCACGAGAATCACTTGAATCCAGGAGGTGGAGGTTGCAGTGAGCCGAGATCGCGCCACTGCACTCCAGTCTGGGCAACAGAGTGAGACTCCATCTCAAAACAAAACCAACCAACCAACCAAACAAAAATCATATACTTGAATCAAAGCTGAAACTTTTCAGTGGTGATTTACAAGGAAACAAGTAACAAAATGTGAAAAATATGAGCATTTATTTAACTTTGGAAACAAGAAAATGCCATCAGAGTTAGAACCAGAATCATAGCATATCAGAGCCCAAAGGGCCTTCCAAGGTCTTAGTTCTATCCATTCATTGCCTAGGTGTGGACATATATTCATTAAGGATAAATGGCATGTCAGAGTCACCTGCCTAATGTGTGAAAGGGTCATCATGTTCTGATTCTTGGCTTAGCATGCTTTCAATTAATACCACATTGGTAGGGAACATGGGTGGGGGGGATGAAAGGTACAGCAGAGAGATATTTACATAGTTTGAAATGAAGAAAGATAAAGTTTATTCTAAAAGTGAATTCAAAAGTAAGAAATAAGGGACTATAAAATATTAGAACAGTTTTTAAAATATAAGGAAGCACAATAGTGACATAATATTCAGCAAACATTAACAAATTCAGGTATAAAATATATATTTCATGTTAGTTAAAAAAAGGATAAAATGTTAACTCATTGATTAGGAGAGATAACCTAAGAAAGAATAAGGAACAACTAAAGGCATGGATAATAAAAGGCCACAGTATAGAAATTCAAGTGAAATGAATGAAGGGATTGCAATATTCAGGGGAAATGGATAGTATAGAGTTTGAATTCTCTGAAGAAAAAAAGGCAGAGTGGTGGGATAGAAGGTGGGGCAGAGAATTAGGCCAGGAACACAGAAAGGAAGATGTTCAATTAGTACCACAAAAGAAGCCTTATTGTGATACTTAGCACTTAAAGTTAGTTCTACAACTGCAGAGAAGTTGGTAAAATGGCTTATAGGAAAGAGTATATAAACAATGCAAATGCTTAGAATTGAACTTATGATTATTAATTAAAATAAGCCATTTAGAAAGTTCATAACAAAAAGTGAATTTAAGTGATTTCTAATATATTCTTTAAACAAACAATTATTTTCTTAAAAACAGGACAAAAGAAAGAAGAGATGAGTGGTGTATCAGTCTGCCCTTATTTGATGTGCCCAAAGAAAATCTAAAATACTATGTCCATTATATTAACCTGATGATTTATCTGGGGAGAAGATATTCACTGTAATGTATTGGTTTTTCCTTTTCTCAAAAGCTTAACATGATATCTGAGAAGACTTTAATAAGCTGGAAAAGCTATGAATGGTGCTTATCAAGATAACAAAATCTTACAGACATAAGTCAGCTAATAACAAAAGTTAGGCATGCATTTAAAAGAAAGCAGATTAAGAAGATGGCTGAAGTTCATTAAAATTATGAAAGTAAATGTCATAAGATGGTAGAGAAAGTAAAGCCAAACAAAACGATTTGAATGGGAACATAATTGGAACTAGAGAAATTTACAGGAGACAAAAAAAATACCTTGTTGAGAATCACTAAAGTTAAAAGTACCTGTATATAAAACCAGTGTGAAGCTAGGAGGTGAGAAGTCTTGTGAAGACCCATGAAGAGTTGAAGGACACCTGCATACTAGAAGTCAAGGTGAAGAGAAGGCCCGTTGGCTGGCGTGTGGGAGATGTCCAATAAATACTTGCTGAAAAAATGAAATCAGTTCCAGGACATGGTCAGCCCAAGGTCAATAGATGGGAACATCTATTGTGGTTAGAAGCTAGTGAATAGGTTAATAGACAGTAGGCAGAGATAAAATCAGGTTCTAACAAGTAGGAAATAGGTGGTAGGAAGGGAGCAAAGGGGCAGGCTTGGGGCACTGGAGGTGGGAAAATCAGGAAAGTCCCTCATGGACCCTAGAGACAAGAAGAAAGTTATAATTACTTTGCAATAAAACACTGCAAAATCTGAGATGGAAACTTTGCTGTCTTTCCTGAACTTGTAGTTCTATAGTCTTTCTAAACCACTGTAAATACTTTTGCCAAATGAATTGGGAAGAAAAATATGTTGGTATAATCAGTTCACCAGAAAGATATCTGTGGATAAAGCAAGAAGTACACTTGTGAACATGTTTCTAAATGTTTTGACAATTTCTATATGGGGACCCTGATATGAGAATGAGTAAGATTGTTGGTTGTTAAAACAAAACAAAACAAAAAAACCAACCTGGTACCCTTCACAGATAGGTACGTAGTGAAGTGGTACTTGTCATCGCTAGTTGAGAATAGGGCTAATAATCCTGTCCACTTCTGACTTATTAATTTTAAATGATTTCAACCAAGAGAAATGTAACAGCCTTTCAAAAATGTTTTCTCTGTTATCACAGCTTGGGTGTTATCCATGGTGTGAATCTATTCAACACCAGCAGCAAAAATGAAACCCTAATTTAGTCTTGAAATTATGTGGGGTCAGGCATGGTGGCTCATGCTTGAGGCCAGGAGTTTCAGGTTACAGTGACCTATGATCATGTATTCCAGGCTGGGTGACAAAACAAGACCCTCTCTTTAAAAGGAGAGAGAGAAAGAGAGAAAGGAAATAAATAAATAAATAAAAATAGCTCTTTGCTCTGCAATTATACTGCCTTTTAGAAGAGGCTATATTCTATCTACAACTGCATAACCTATATATGAAGACTGAAAACATCTGAAAAGTACAGAGAACACTGATCTACACTGTACGTTTGCTTTGGATATAGACTGGACTTAATAAAGGTAAAATCTTAATGAGTATAAAAACTGTGGCTAATTACAGTACTGTATTGTTTTGAGGAGTTTTTTTTTTCACTGTAGGAGGTAGAATGTGAGCTAAATCTTGAAAGATGTGTTGGGTGATTTTTTTTTTCTTTTTTGAAGATAGTTTATTGCTAAAACACCAACAGAAAAAAATTTAAAAGAGAAAAAAAATTACTCCTTTCCATCACCTAAAATTTATTCTCATATTTCCAAGTTCCTTTCTGGTTTCTGTTCACAAATACACCTATTCTGATGTAACTGTAATTATATTACACATATAATTTTGTGGATTCTTTTTACACTGTAACATAATCATAAGCATGTTTCTATGTTGATGCCCAGTGGTCATATTGTCATTTTAAAAGTCTGCGTAATGTCCTAAATGTTGGCATGGGATAATGTATTACTCCTATCATTAGTGTTGGGCATAAATTAGTTCTAATTATTCACTATTATAAATGTGATCTTTCCACAAAAATAATTTTCTTCTTCTGATTGTTTTCTAAGTATAAATTATCAAAAAGGAGATAACTAATCACAAACATTTCTGTGGGGTGAAAAAAATACAGTAATAACTTATGTCACCAAATGAAGGAAAACTTTACCATTAAAGTCTTTGTACTAATTTAAAAAGTAGAATTTTATTTAGTTAGTTATTAGTAATTGAACATTTTGTGTTTATTATGTGTTTTTCCTGTGTTAATGGTTTGTTTCTGTCTTTCACCCATTTGCTTGGGGTCTTGGAGTTTTCTTACACAGTTGAATAAATCCTTTACATGGTGTGGATTTTAACACTTCATATATCATATATGAAACAAATACTTTTTTGTCAGTCTGCTGTTTTTAGGTTGTTTGGCAGATTTGAACTAAAAAATTCTACCTTTTTAATAGACAAATTCTGTCAGTGTTACTCTTTGCAATTTTTAAGGTGCTGCTTTATCCCTCCATAATTAGGATACATTCTGTATATTTTTATTGTGTGCTAGTTTGCCTTGAGGCTTATTTTGATGTAATGTTTATTTCCTTTGGTTATCTCTATAGCACTTATTATATAATTTTGCTTTTTCCCCATTGTTAATGATGCTTACATTAATATCTGATTCTACTTCTGGATTTGCTACACTGTTCTAAAGATATATACTGCCATTTTCGCAGCAGCAGAACATCCCTATAAAAACATAGTTTAAATATGCTAGGGCTAGGTGGCCAAACATGGATTTTCACTTCCAGGCTTTTAAAAATATATTTTTCCCAAGATCTGATCCAAGAGCAATTGATGCCAAGAAGCTGAAGGAGTAGAGGGATCAACTGCTGTTCAGGACCAGAGGAGAAAGCAAGTGAGGTAGGTGTCCAATGTCTTAGGGACACAGAAGCTACATCCTCACCAGAGAGTTCTTGTGGAATGATTTTGGCTGTGAATCTAGCAGCCTCCCTTTACTGGGTTCCTAACCACTTTCTCAGCCTGGTTCTTCCACCCTCTTAGATATTCTGAATATCTAATATCCTTTCAATAAATTACTTTACTGTTTGAATTAAAGTTAGTTTTGGCTGATTGTGACTAACTAAAAAAATTCACAAATGCTGTTCTTTTTGAAAATGTAAGCTACTTACTTTTTTTTTTTTTTAACTATTCTACAGTATGAACATCCTTTTCCCAACATTCCTTATTATTATTTTTAAGCTAGTGCTGAACTTGTCTGGCCATAAGAACCAGCATCATCCTAATAGCCAAACCTGGCAGAGATGTAACAACAACAACAACAACAACAACAAAAAGAAAACTTCAGGCCAATATATCCCTGATGAACATCAATGCAAAAATCCTCATTAAATATTGGCAAACTGAATCCAGCAGCACATCAAAAAGCTTATCCACCATAATCAAGTTGGCTTCATCCCTGGGATGCAAGCTTGGTTAAACATATGCAAATCAATAAATGTGATTCATCACATAAACAGAACTAAAGACAAAAACCACATGATGATCTCAATAAATGGCAAAAAGGCCTTTGATAAAATTCAACATCCCTTTATGTTAAAACCTCTCAATAAACTATGCATTAAGGGAACATACTTCAAAATAATAAGAGCCATATATGACAAACCCACAGCCAATATCATACTGAATGTGCAAAAGCTAGAAGTATTTCCCTGGAAAACTGGCATAAACAAAGATGCCCTTTCTCACCACTCCTATAAAACATAGTATTGAAAGTTCTGGCCGGAGCAATCAGGCAAGTGAAAGAAATAAAGGATATCCAAATAGGAAAATAAGAAGTCAAATTATCTTTATTTGCACATAACATGATCCTACACCTAGAAACCTGTCTCAGCCCAAAAGCTTCTCAAGGTGATAAGCAATTTCAGCAGTCTCAGGATACAAAATAAATGTGCAAAAACATTCCTATACATCAACAACAGGTGAGCCAAGAGCCAAATAATGAATGAAATCCCATTCACAACTACTATAAAAAAAATTTTTAAAACCCTAAGAATACAGCTAACAAGGGAAATGAAAAACCTTTTCAAGGAGAACTACAAATGACTGCTCAAGGAAATCAGAGAGGACACAAACAAATGGAAAAACATTCCATGCTCATGGATAGGAAGAATCAACATTATTTAAATGGCCATACTGCCCAAAGTAATTTATAGATTCAATGCTATTCCCATTAAACTACCATTGACATTCTTCACACAACTAGAAAAAACTATTTTAAAATTCATATGGAACCTAAAAGAGCCTGACTAGCCAAGGCAGTCCTAATCAAAAAGAACAAAGCTGGAGGCATCATGCTACCCGACTTCAAGTTATACTGCAAGGCTATAGTAACCAAAACAGCATGGTACCAGTACAAAAACAGACATATAGAACAATGGAACAGAATAGAGAACTCAGAAATAAGACAGCACACCTACAACCTCTGATATTTGACAAACCTGACAAAAGCAAGCAATGGGGAAAGGATTCCCTATTTAATAAATGGTGCTGGGAGAACTGGCTAGCCATGTGTGGAAAACTGAAACTGGACCCCTTTCTTATGCCATATACAAAAATCAACTCAAGATGGATTAAAGGCTTAAATGTAAAACCCAAAGCTATAAAAACCCTAGAAGAAAATCTAGGCAATATCATTCAGGACGTAGGTACAGGCAGAGATTTCATGATGAAAATGTTAAAAGCAATAGCAACAAAATCAATAATTGACAAATGAGATCTAATTAAAGAGCTTCTGCACAGCAAAATAAACTATTAATAGGTGAACAGACAACCTAAAGAATGGAAGAAAATTTTTGCAATCTATCCATTTGGCAAAAGTGTAATATCCAGAGTCTACAAGAAACTTAAAAAAATGTACAAGGAAAAAACAAACAACCCCATTAAAAAGTAGGCAAAGAACATGAACAGACACTTTTCAAAAGAAGACATACATGCAGCCAACAAACATGAAAAAAAGCTCATCATCATGATCATTAGAGAAATGCAAATTAAAACCACAATAAGATACCATCTTACACCAGTCAGAATGGTGATTATTAAAAAGTCAAGAAACAACAGATGCTGGCAAGGTTGTGAGAAAAAGGAGCTTTTACACTGTTGGTGGGAGTACAAATTAGTTTAACCTTTGTGGAAGACAATGTCATGATTTCTCAAAGATCTAGAGGCCAAAATACGATTTGACCCAGCAATCCCGTTACTGGGTATATACCCAGAGGAATATAAATAATTCTAGTATAAAAATACAAGCATGCATATGTTCATTGCAGCACTATTCACAATAGCAAAGACATGGAATCAACCTAAATGTCCATCAATGATAGATTAAATAAAGAAAATGTGGTACACATACACCATGGAATACTATGCAGCCATAAAAAGGAATGAGATCATGTCCTCTGAAGAGACATGGATGGATCTGGAAGCTGTTATCCTTAGCAAACTAACACAGGAACAGAAAACCAAACACCAAAAACCACAAACCAGTGTTCTCACTTGTAAGTGGGAGCTGAATGATAGGAACATATGGACACATGGGGAAAACAACACACACTAGAGCCTGTCAACTGGGGGGTTGAAGGGAGGAAGAGCTTCAGGAAGAATAACTAAGGGATGCTGGGCTTAATACCTAGGTGATAGGATGAGATCTGTGAAGCAAACTACTATGGCACACGTTTACCTGTGTAACAAACCTGCACATCCTGCATGTGTACCCCAGAACTTAAAATAAAAATTGAGGGAAAAAATAATAATATGTCAATATTCATTCATTAATTGTAACAAATGCACTAAACTAGTGTACAATGTTAACCATAGGGGAAACTGTGTGTTGGGGGGAGTGATATATGAGAATGCTCTATATTATCTTTTCATTTTTTTCAGTAAATCTCAAATTGCTATAAAAAATAAAGCTTTTTTTTTTAAAGACTCCCCTCATTCATCTCTCATTCACCTAATTCTGATTGCCTCCAAATAATAAATACTGTAGTTAGTTTCTTGTATATATATCTCCAAAGATTTTAAAAATTTATAGAGAGTACAAGTAAATAATAATACACATATATTTCACTTCATATTTTGTATACAAATTATACCACAGTGCATATGCAATGTTATGTATCTTCCTTTCTTTGTTTGACAATATAGTTTGGAGCTCTCTATCTCTCCAAGGAACAAGGAACTTTCTCTGTCTCTCTCTTTCTCTCTCTCTATGGCTATATGGACTCTACTGTTTGAATACTGCACAATTTATTTAACCAGTCACCTATCATGATGTTTTAGGTTGCTTGCAGTCTTTTGGTATTACTATGCTTCAAAGAATAACTTTGCAAATCTGTTACTTCATTTATAAGAAGGCATATCTACATGTTAATTCCTGGAAAAGGAAGTCCAGGGTCAAAGGAAGGGGGTTCATTTGTATTTCAGACAAATATTGAAAACTAGTCTCTAGAGTAATTGTACCAATTTATAGTCCACCCAGAAATGTATTAGAGTGCCTCACCAACCCAATCTGCTATCATACTTTTGGGTTTTGTTAATCTGATACATGAAAATCACTACCTTAGTAGTTTCGTTTTTTATTGATCTTATAAATATTTGAAATATTTAGCTTTGACAGCGTTTTTGAAGGAAAAAAGATCAAAGCTAAACTCCAAAACTTCACAGTTTTCATGAGAATCTATCATTTATACATTAAAGAATTTCACAAGTATTTATATTGTCAGCATTAACAGCTCCTGGTATAATAAATTCCAAAAATGCATTTTTGTTGCTACTACTCTCACATGGTTTCGATGTGCCTCCATTTAGCTAAAAATAGCTTCTAGTTCTAAAAAGTCTCCAGGAATCTACAACTCCTGGGGCCATCCCATCAGCAGCTATTCCAGGTCGAGAGGAAAATCCAGGATATATGAGAAGAATTTCAGTTTTCTCAAGAATGCAAGAGTGTATCTTTAAATAGAGCTTGCCACATCAATTCCCTACTTTTTCTAGTTCATAAAATCAAAACCCTATATATCATTTTGACTATTTCAAGTGACAAGTACAAGTAATTCATTTGAATACAACTTTCATACACTCAAAGATGAAAAATTGATTTGTTCATTCCTTATACTATACCCAATAGTAAAAAATTATTTGAAGCATTAGAATCTCACAATTCTAAGCTATTAAAGAGCAAATCAACCCCAAAGCTAGCAAAATACAAGAAATAACCAAAATCAGAGCTGAATGGAAGGAAATAAAGACACACAAAAACATTCAAAAGATCAATGAATCCAGAAGTAGGTTTTTCGAAAAAGTTAATAAGATAGGCCACTAGCTAGACTAATAAGGAAGAGAGAAGATCCAAATACACCCAATTAGAAATGAAGAAGAAAATGTTACCACTAACCCCATAGAAATAAAAACAACCATCAGAAACTACTACAAATACCTCTATGCACACAAACTAGAAAACCTAGAAGAGATGCA
This sequence comes from Homo sapiens, assembly GCF_000001405.40. NCBI lineage: Eukaryota > Metazoa > Chordata > Mammalia > Primates > Hominidae > Homo > Homo sapiens. Next base: position 156,951,612 of record NC_000003.12, on the reverse strand, counting down.
TACATACCTGGACACATACACCCTCCTAATACTGAACCAGGAACAAATTGATTCCCAGAACAGACCAATAACAACATCAGAAATTAAATCAGTAATAAACAGTCTACCAACCAAAAAAAAACCCCAGGAGCTGATGGATTCACAGCTGAATTCTACCAGAGGTACAAAGAAGAAGTGGAACCATTCGTAGTGAAACTATTCCAAAGAATCGAGGAGGAAGAACTTCCCAACTCATTTTATGAGGTCAGCATCATCCTGATACCAAGACCTGGCAGAGACACACACACAAAAAAATTCAGGCCAATATCCATGATGAACATCAATGCAAAAATCCTTAACAAAATACTTGCAAACCAAATTCAGCAGCACATCAAGAAGCTAACACGTCGTGATAAAGTAGGCTTCATCCTTGTGATGCAAGGCTGGTTCAACATATGCAAATCAATAAATGTGATTAATCACATAAATAGAACTAAAGAAAAAAACCACATGATTATCTCAATAGATGCAGAAAAGGCTTTTGATAAAATTCAACCTCCCTTTATGTGAAAAACTTTCAATAAACTAAGTATTGAAGGAATAGACCTCAAAATAAGAGCTGTCTATGCCAAACCCAAAACCAACATCATATTGAATGGGCAAAAGCTGGAAGTATTCCCTTGAAAACCAGAACAAGACAAGGATGCCCTCTTTCACCACTCCTACTCGATATAGCATTGGAAGTCCTAAGCCAGAGCAATCAGGCAAGAGAAAGAAATAAAAGGCATTCAAATAGGTTAAGAAGAACTCAAACCATCTCTGTTTGCAGATGACATGTTTCTATATCCAGAAAACTCCTCAGTCTTGACACAAAAGTTCCTTGAGTTGATAAACAGCTTTAGCAAAGTTTCAGGATACAAAATCAATGTACAATCACTAGCATTCCTATACACCAACAACAGCCAAGCCAAAAGCCATATCAGGAACACAATCCCATTTACAATTTACATACTCACACACACATACACACACACACACAAAATTCCTAGGAATAAAATACATAGGAATACAGCTAACTAGGAAGATGAAAGGTCTCTACAATGAGAATTACAAACTGCCCAAAGAAATTAGAGATGACAAAAAGAAATAGAAGAACATCCCATGCTCATGGATTGGAAGAATCAATATCAGTAAAATGGCCATACTGCCCAAAGCAATTTACAGATTCAATGCTATTCCTATCAAACTATCAATGACATTTTTCATAAAACTAGAAAAAATTATTTAAAAATTCATATGGAATCAAAAAAGAGCCAGAATAGCCAAGGAAATCCTAAGCAAAAAGAACAAAGCTGCAGGCATCACATTATCCAACTTCAAACTATACTACCAGGCTGTAGTAATCAAAACAATATAAGAAATGAAAAAGGGGCAGTAACTACAAATAAAGAAGAAGAAATAATAAGAAAATAATGCTCTGAACAACCTCATGCCAACAGCTTTGAAATCTTGGGTGAAATGGATATATTAATACAAAAATATATGTTACTAAGATTGACTCAACAAAATCAAAAGGTTCTGTAACTATTAAATAAATTGAAGCAGTGTCTTCCCACAAAGATATGGCCAGATGGTTTTCTAAGCAAATTCTACCAAACTTTCAAGAAACAGAGAATCTTAATTTTATACAATGTTTTAGAAAGAGCCAAAAATTAAAGTATATTTCCCAACTCATTCTACAAGGCCATAGTGACCTGTAACCACAATCTGACAAAGATATTAAAATAAAGAAATAAAGGCCTATTTCTATTATGAAAACTGATGTAGCAATTTTTAACTAAATGTGAGTAAACTGAAACAAACAGCTTTTCTTTATGCTGAGTATGTGATCAAGTCTTACTAAATGTTCCTTTGAAATATGAAGTAAAATACAATTCTCTACTTGAGAATTCTTGTAAAATCCTTGTGAAAACCCTAGAAGGTCGGGACTGTTATTATACCCATTTTGTAAATAAAGAAACTAAGGCCCAGAGGAGTTTAACTTATGCAAAATAACACAGCTAGTAAATATTGAAGCCAAAAGAACAGCATGGTACTGGTACGAAAACAGGCACACAGACCAATGGACCAGAATAGAGAGCACAGAAATAAAAACGCAAACCTACAACAATCTGATCTTTGATAAAGCTGACAAAAACAAGCAATGGAAAAAGACTCCCTATTCAGTAAACGGTGCTGGGATAACTGGCTAGCCATATGCAGAATACTGAAACTAGACCCCTTCCTTATACCATATATAGAAATCAACTCAAGATGTATTAAAGACTTGAATGTAAAACCCAAAACTATAAAAACCCTGGAAGACAACCTAGGGAATTACCATTCTGGACATAGGAATGGGCAAAGATTTAGTAACAAAGACACCATAAGCAATTGCAACAAAGGCAAAAACTGACAAATAGGATCTAATTAAACTTAAGAACTTCTGCACACCAAAAGAAACTATCGACAGAGTAAACAGACAACTTACAGAATGGGAGACAAAATTTGCAAAGTATGCAGCAGACAAAGGTCTATTATCAAGGATCTAAAAGTACCCTAAATTTACAAGAAAAAAACCCAAACAAGCCCATTAAAAAGTGGGCAAAGATCATGAACAGACACTTCTCAAAAGAAGACATACATGAGGCCAAATAGGAAAAAAAAGTTCACTATCACTGATTATTACAGAAATGCAAATCAAGTGCCAATGAGATATCACCTCACACCAGTCAGAATGGCTATTATTAAAAAGTCAAAAAGTAACAGATGCTGGTGAGTTTGCAGAGAAAAGGACACACTTATACACTTGCTGGGAGTGTAAATTAGTTCAACATTGTGGAAAGCCATATGGCAATTCCTCAAGGAGCTAAAAGCAGAACTACCATTTGACCCAGTAATCCCATAATTGGGTATATACCCAGAGGAATATAAAGCATTCTACCACAAAGACACATGCATGCAAATGTTTATAGCAGCACTATTCACAATAGCAAAGACATGGAATCAACCTAAGTGCCCATCAATGACAGATTGAACGTTCACTGTCAGCATTATTATTTAACAGAGTGTCAGAGCTTCAGATGAATTTAATAAGATATGAAGGAGACAAGAAAATAAAATAACAGATATAAACACTGGGAAAAAATAGATGAACTCTTTTGGGAAGTTGTAGGCCCAAGAGTCACTAATAAAAAATGTCTACTGTAGAATTAATATGAGAATTTTGTGAGGTGCATGGATATAAAACAAATATATAAAAATAAATAGCTTTTGTCTACTCTATCAACAAAAATTGAAATAGGAAAAATAGTCTATTTATGGTAGAGGCAAAACTGACAGTAACAAATTTAACAAGAATGGCAAAGAAACATATTTAAGTAAAACTATTACATCTTATTAAAGAACATATAATAGCATTAAAAATGAAAGAGCATACCATATTTTTGAATGAAAAGACTTACAATATTCAAAAGACAATATTACCAAAATTTTTAATTTTCTAAAACTTAGTTTATAAATATAATGCAATTCAAATTAGAATCCTTGTTGGCATTAGAGGTGAATGAAATCATCTTAAAGTTTATGTGGAAGAATAACTTCCTTTGAATATGTGGGAAAGATGTAATGAGTAGAGAGAGAAAAACTTTTACTAGGTAATTCTTGGAGCCTGTGGATTAGAGGTAAATAAAATTATATTAAAGTTAAAATGAAAGACTAACTGTCTGCAAATATGTATTTAAAAAGTAAGAATGGTGGAGACAGAAAGGGCTTAGCACCTGAAAGAATATGCTAATAAGTCATATTCAAATCAATGTAATATTAATGGTGCGTCAAATAAATTAGTGGAACAGAAGACAGAATATAGTAATAGTTGCTAGTACAGACAGTTCCTGACTTATGGTTCAATATGATTTTTTGACTTTATGATGGGTTTGTCAGGATGTAACCCCATCATGAGTTGAGAGGCTCCTTACCAATTACGACGGGGTTCTGGTTTCTATTGAATGCATATTGCTTTAATGCCACAGTAAAGTCAAAAATTTGTAAGTTGAATCATGGTAAGGTGGGATCATCTGCTGTGTTGCCAGCATTAAATGCATTTTTTTACTTACAATATTTTCAAGTTAGGATGGGTTTATTGGGACATAACCCCACTGTAAGTAAAGGAGCATCTGTATATATTAAAATTTTAACATACAACAGATAGTAGTTCTATGTAGTGAGAAAAGGATAAATTATTTAATACATAATACTGATACAATTGGAAAAGAGTAAATCTGGACCACTATATCTTGCACCAACATAGCAAAACCTATGGGATCCAGCAAAAGCAGTACAAGAAGAAAGTCTATAGCAATAAGCACTTACATCAAAAAAGTAGAAAGCTTCAAATCAACATAACAATGCATCTTAAAGCAAGAGAAAACCAAGTCCAAAATTAGAAGAAAAGAAATAAAGATCAGAGCAAAAATAAATGAAATTGAGACTGAAGAAAACAATACAAAAGATCAACAAAATGAAAAGTTGGTCTCCTGAAAAGATAAAATTAACAAACCTTTAACCCAACTAATAAAGAAAAAAAAAGAGAAGACCCAGATAAATACAATCAGACATGAAAAAGGAGACATTACAACTGATACTGCAGAAATTCCCACTGGCTATTCAGGAACATATTGTTTATCATTAGAGGCTACTATGAGCAACTATATGCCAATAAATTTGAAAACCTAGAAGAAATGAATAAATTCCTAGATATATACAATCTACCAAGACTGACCAATGAAGAAATCCAAAACCTGAACAGGCCAATAATAAAAGGGAAGCAAGGATGGTCCAACATATGCAAATCAGTGTGATACATTATATTAACAGAATGAAGGACAAAAATCATAGGATCGTTTCAGTTGATTCTGAAAAAACGTTTGATATAATTCAACATGCCATCGTGATAAGAACCCTGAAAAAACTGGGTATAGAAGGAACATATCTCAACATAATAAAAGCCATATATAAGAGGTCCACATTTAGTATCATACTGAGCAGGGAAAAATTAAAAGCCTTTCCTCTAAGTCTGGAACACAACAAGGATGCCCACTTTCACCACCATTATTCAACACAGTGCTGAAAATCCTAGCTAGAGCAATCAGACAAGATAAGGAAATAAAAGGCATCCAAATTGGAAAGGAAGAAGTCAAATTATCCTTGTTTGCAGATGATATAATCTTATATTTAGAAAAACCTAAAGACTCCATAAAAACTATTAGAACTGATAAACTAATTCAGTAAAGTTGCAGGATACAGAATCAACATACAAAAATCAGCAGCATTTCTATATGACAACAGTGAACAATCTGAAAAAGAAATCAAGAAAATCATCCTATTTACAATAATTACAAATAAAATAAAATATCTAGGAATAAACCTAACCAAAGAAGTAAAAGTTCTCCAAAATGAAAACATTGATGAAAGAAATTGAAAAGGAAACAAAAAAATGGAAAGATATTCCAAGTTCATAGATTGGAAAAATCAATATTATTAAAATGTCCATACTACCCAAAGCAATCTACAGATACAATGCAATCACTATCAAAATACCAATGTCATTCTTCACAGAAATAACAAAAATAATCCTAAAATTTAGATGGAATCACAAAAGACCCAGAATAGTCAAAGCTATACTGAACAAAAATAACAAAACTGGAGAAATCACATTACCTGACTTCAAATTATACTACAGAGCTATAGTAAACAAAACAACTGGGTGCTGACATAAAAACAGACACAGAGACCAATGGAACAGAACAGAAAACATACAAACAATTTCATGCATCTACAGTGAACTAATTTTTGACAAGAGTGCCAAGAACATAGGTTGGGGGAGGACAGTCTCTTCAGTAAATGCTCCTGGGAAAACAGGATATCCATATGCAGATGAATAAAACTAGATCCCTATCTCTCACCATATACAAGAATCAAATCACAATGGATTAAATATTTAAATCTAAGACCTCAAACTATGAAACTACTAAAAGAAAACATTAGGGAAACCCTCCAGGACATTGGACTAGGCAAAAGTTTCTTGAGTAATACCCCACAAGCGCAGGCAGCCAAAGCAAAAATGGACAAATGGGATCATATCAAGTTAAAAACATTCTGCAGGGATCACATCAAGTTAAAAACCTCCTGCACAGCAAAGGAAACCATCAACAAAGTCAAGAGACAACCCACAGAATGGGAGAAAATATTTGCAAACTATCCATCTGACAAGGGATTAATAACCAGAATACACAAGCAGCTCAAACAACTCTATAGGAAAAAATTTAATAACCTGATTTAAACAAATGGGCAAAAGATCTAAATAGACATTTCTCAAAAGCAGACAAACAAATGGCAAACAGGTATATGGAAAGGTGTTCAACATCACTGATCATCAGAGAAATGCAAATCAAAACTATACTGAGATATAATCTCACCTCAGTTAAAATGGTTTTTATCCAAATGACAGAAAATAGAAATTCTGGCAAAGTTATAGAGAAAAGCGAACCCTTGAACACTGTTGGTGGTAATATAAATTAGTATAATCAATATGGAGAACACTTTGGAGGTTCCTCAAAAAACTAGACATAGAACTACCATATGGTCCAGGAATCTCACTGGTAGTTATAATACTGAAAGAAAGGAAATCAGTATATTGAAGAGATATCTACACTCCCATGTTTATTGCAGCACTATTCACAATAGCCAAGATTTGGAAGTAACCCAAATGTCCATCAACAAATGAACACATAAAGAAAATGGGGTAAATATACACAATGGAATACTATTCAGCCATAAAAAGAATGAGATACAATCATTTGCAACAACACAGATGAAACTGGGGGTCATTATGTTAAATGAAATAAGCCAGCCAGAGAAAGACAAATTTTGCATATTTATTTGTAGAAACTACAAAAAATTAAAACAGTTGAACTTCTGGCAATAGAGAATAGAATGGTGGTTACCAGAGTGTGGGAAGGGTGATGGGGCAGGGTTGAGAGGATGGAAAGTGGGGATGGTTAATGGGTACAAATATATGGTTAGACAGGATGAATAAAAGCTAGTATTTGATAACACAACAGGGTAACCACAGTCAACAATAATATTGTACATTTAAAAATAACTAAAAGAGTATAAATTAATTGTATGTAAAACAAAGAAAGGACAAATGCTTGAGGCAGGACACCTCATTTACCGTGACATAATTATTATACATTGTATGCCTGTACCAAAATATCTCATGTATCCTATAAATATATACCCCTACTATGTACCCACAAAAATTAAAAACAAAAAATTTCAAATAGCTGACTAGATTTTTTAAATAAAATCAAAATAAATTCTATATGTATTAATGACTCACTTGGGAAACAAAACCCAGGATACTGTATGTACTATCTAGGAATGGGACTACTTTAATAAGACTACCCAGAAACAATAAAAGATAATTATTGATTATACCAAAACAAAAAACTTCGATATGGTAAAATTTACCATAAAAAGTCAATAGATAAATTATGCATTTGAAAAAAATCAAATGTAGAATATAATATTTATACTGTATAAAATTTGCTATAAAATTATCAAGAAAAATTCCAATAATGCAATAGAAAATTTCCAGAATCTATGAGTAGGTAGTTCTCAGGAAAGAAAATAAAAATATATGATTATTTTAAATTTTATCTGATTTTAAAATTTTTATCTGTTGCATACTGCTATAAAGTTAATATGATGACTTGTTATCTTCTCTTTCAACACTAGCTTCTCTCCAGATTTCTGTAGTCTGTGGTATGCTCCCATCATTAAAGACTCCCAAACACAGGAGGTTCAGAGCCCTTTCTGACTTCCTTCTCTTCTGTGTTTACTCAGACAGATGTTCATCTCCCTGGTCTTAGGTAGTCACCTCAACCCTGATTCTATCTCACCCTTCCCACTGGGCCACGGAGAAGCCTAAATAGACACAGTGGGACAAGCATGAGCATTGAAGTCCAACCGGTTTTGCTTTTACTCTCTGCCATTTACTAGGAACGTAGTACCAGTCATGATACTTTGTGGGCCTTGGTTCTCTCCTCTGTAAGATAGGATAATTATACCAGCTTTTCATGGTCGTTATGAGAACAGATAGAAATAATTCACATAAAGTGTCTAGCACACTTAGGACTTAAAAAAATGTGAGTTCCCTTCCCTACTTCAGCTTCTTATGGTTAGTCTTGGGATTGGGATACTGGCAAAGATATTTTCAAAATGGCTACTTGACTCCAGTGTCTTGATGTTTGAAACACCTCTATTCATTACTAACAGATTAATTTGTCTAAAATTCTGCTTTTGTGATATCATTCTTCTGATTACCTATTTTATTGATCCCTTACTATCTTCAGGGAAAATTACAAACTCTTTACATTTACTGTCAAGACACTCATTCCTCTGAGGTGGAGACAAACTTTAAAACCTTGCCCAAGATGCTTCAAACACTTTAAATTTTTTCATTTGGAAAAATGAAGGACTGCCTGCAATTCTGGATTCACCTTTACAAGGAAACATAGAAGAGCACAGATATACCAAAGTAAATTTCGCCTTATTTTTCTGAAATCTTACGTTGCAGTTGAAATGTCTTTTATATATTCACTTAAGTCTTACCACACTAAATGGCAAAACTGGAAATGATGACAGCAAGTATTGACCACAGACACAGTTATCACCATAGTGATACTAATAATTAGGCATATTTGCAACTCAAAATAATTAAAACAAGATTTTGTTGTAATTATAAGTAAAAATGTAAACATTTATTCATGTACTTATATAACTAGTCACCAAAAACAGCAAAAGACTTTTCTTTACCTAGTACTTCTTTTTGCAAATCATAGCATCTGGTTTGCAAGTTTACTTCCTGTTGTCTAGATGTCCGAATCTGCTGAGATCTCAATATGGCTGCATCTGACAACAATTTCAGATTTTTCATTTCCTTTTCAAGGCATACTTTATTTCTCTGGGATACTGTCAAACTTTTATTCAGTATGTCTATTTCTGTAAGAAGAATTCAAAGTTTACAAATAGCCAATAATTGAATCATAAAACATTTCTCTAAAGATTGATTAGTTTCTTTTAGAAAATTAATAGTTGAAAGGCAAGATGACATTTCTGAGATTATAATGACATCTAACTAAAAAGTTAAATTTAAATTCAGTAGTCAGTCTGAAAACGATAAAAAAAGTTTTATTGCTACATGATGCATGAAATCTTTTAACAGTATTTTTTTTAGCTTTTAAATTGTATTAAGTGGTAATACAGCCTGCTTTTTAAATACTTACATAAATGAATAATATCTGTGTAATGTTATAGGTTTTATTGAAATGATCTTTTTTTTAAGCAACATGATTCAGAAAAGTAAATTTAAATGTTCTAGCATGAGCTGGTTGGGTGGCATTTCTAAGGGGTTAACTAGAATACATTCTCTACAAATTATGAAGAAAGATTTTAGGAGTAGAGTGGACAGAAGGATGTAGTGTCTAAAACTAATAAATTTAGGGGAAGAAAGCATTAGTTAATAATATCTTAATGATTTTAATAGTACTGTATCCCCCCCAATAAGACCAGAATTCATAATAATCATGTCATTATTCTATTTAGATTGTTTAATAAAAATCTTTATAGCTCTACTTAGATTTAAATATGCTAATTTTATACAATTTCATGAGAAATGCATGGAGCATATTATCCTTCAGAATAATTAATAAGCTCCCTGTTCATCAGTCTTTTCTGCACTATTGCCTTAAACTATCATTAAAACACATGAACACACACTCAACAAAGATAAAATAAATGCTATGAAATTTGTACAACCACAATTAATTGAATTGATGAGCATGTGATTTAGATGAAAATTTGGACAGTCTGCTTTTTCAGACATTTCACTTGGAATTCCCTTCTTTGGTTAGCCCATCCTGGACTATGTGATAGGTTCAACATGTGACGAGATGTCAAAAGTGGTTGGTTTCGTTTATTGCTCTTGGTGCCACCACAGCAGAAACAGCAACCATGTGGGCCAGTGAAGACCACAAGTAGAGATACATAGGACAGACATGCAGTAGAGGTAATTTGGCCAGCAAATGGTTATAGGAGAAGTAAAGCAGAGAGCTAGAACAGAGCACAGGAAAAAAGAGCATGTTTTAAGGGATCGTGATGAGGAGGATCACGAATGTAGTACAAGGAGAGAAAAGCAAAATGGGGTAGAAAGCATGTCTGGGAGAAAAAGTGGCATTTGTGATAGACCTGGGGAATAAGCACAAGGGGTCTGGCACTTTCTCTATGTTTAGTTTCTGCTCAAAATGGAAAACCTAGAGAAATAAATTGCAGAAACCAAATAAGTGGGATTCTAATATAGTCTAATGATTATTTTATGTGGGATTTTTTTTTCCTCAAAATAGCTATATGCTGCTAAAAACTTATGACTATGCCCCAATTTGTGTGAGGAAAACTACTAACACACAGTACATAAAATTTTTAAAAGAATGGAGTTAAAGAAAATAAGGAGGTTACAGTTTCCCTACGTACCTAAAAAGTCTTTCTGGGTATTTTTGTAGCCAAAAAGGTGGCTTCTTAAGGCTGAATAAACTATAACATACCAAAACGATATCTATGTTTAAGTCAAAATGACACTGCACAGCACCACACACGTGGTGTCACCTATTTATCATATGCCAAAATGACACTGCTCAGGTTAGCAGGCTCTGTTAGCATACACTATACTCTAAAATAACTACTCATGTCAATGTGACTTTCTATCTAACATTTAAAGAATAAAAATCTGCAATACAAATTTATTTGTAAAATATATTCTAAGACATGGAAAAGTACATCAAGATTTCAAAACTAACAGAAGCTATAACATTACTAACATGGAGTTAGGAAAAAGTAAACTCAATGGAGATGAATTAACTTACCTTTTGCAAAATAAACACTCCTTTGCCTATGGCAATCCTGGGTCAAAGATTCAATTCTACCCTTGCCATTATACAATTCCATACTTGTAAGACATGTGTCCCGATTTGGGGTTCAGAAATTAAGATCCCCACAAGGTCAACCTATACTGGTCATTGTATCCACCTTGAACCTTTCCTGTCTCAGCACCATCCCATGAAGAAGGTCCTCCTATCCTCATATATTCAGCTATCATGGCTCAAATGTTACCTCTGTGCAGAAATCTTTTTGGACCTGATCTGGATGTGATCTTCATCTTCCTGGAACTCACAGCAATTTACATCATTTGTATTGCACTGAACACATGCATACATGTGACCTACTATTGGACTATAAGTTATTTCAGGCCATAGATAGTATCTTATTCATTTCTATTTCCCCCATAATTTCTACCATGATGTCTTAGGATTAACAAGAGCTCAATAAATGCCTAATAAATTAGTAAAGGCATTGCTGAGCAAAGCTTCTAAATCGTTTTTAATATACCACTAGTTGAAGATCCTGAATATGTGTTTATCTCAGCCTTCATTTCAGAGGCAGGCATTTTGAGCTCCACATTTTTAAATGTCAGAGTAGGATAGGCAGTTAAAACACATATCCAAAAGAAACATTTTTAATTGAATAAAATAATTGATCAATTCTATCCCTAATTTCATAAATTTTGTGAAAAATGTGGACTACATTTCTAAGCCTAATTCTAGATTTGAATTTTAAAAGTTCAACAACTATTCAGTCAACAGTTGTGTTGGGAGTGGAATTCGCCTGATAAGTATTTTTCCTTGGTAAAAATATTTTTCCCGAAATTTTATTAAAATAAGTATGCTCTTGTTTAAGAAAATTTCATCTATAAAAACTTCATTTTAAAAAATATCAATTACATAAAGTGATATTCATTTGCTAGAATAGGAAATATTTTACTCATACCTGCTACTCAATGTTCAGCATACATTATCAGCAAGAAAATATTAAGCAATTTCCTTTTCTAGGAATGCTGTTTCTGTTTTGGACTTTGATTTTAAAGCCTAACTTAATTTTAACATGCAAATCTTTTAAAGTAACTGAATAATATTGTGCAATATATATGGGGTTTACTACATTTATTAATTTGCTAGGGCTTCTGAAAGAAAGTACCACAGATTGAGTGCTTAAACAACAGAAATTTATTTTCTCACAGCTCCAGAGACTAGAAATCTGAGATCAAGGTGTCAACAGGATTGGTTCCTTCTCCGACAGTGAAGGAAGGATCTGTTCCAGGTCTCTCTCCTTGGCTTGCAGGTGGCTGCCTTTTCCCTGTGTATTCACATGGTGTCCGTAGGTGTCTGTGTACAGATTTCTTCTTCTTATGACACCAGTCAGATTGGATTAGGGGCTACCCTGATGACCTCTTTAAAAACCTTATCTCCAAATATAATTACTGTAGGAGGTACTGGAGATTAGGACTTTAACATTTCAGTATATGAATTTGGGGAGGGGGACACAATTCAGCCCATCACACTATATTTTAGAATATTTGTTATTTAAAATGTTTGTACTATTATCAAAATTTATAGCCAATACATGCTTTTAGCTTTTAGAATAAGTGTTATCACATAATTCACTAGCTAACGCAAGTACAATTATTACTGTTAAGCTTACGCAATCAATTTCTTTACCTTGATAAGTTTTTTTGTTTTGTTATTAGTCCTGTGAGCTTAGGCAAATGAACTCAAAATTATGTTAGGTCATTATATCATTAGGAAACCTCTATAACCTTATTATCAAGGCATTCTGATATTACAAATACAGTGTCATTTTTAATTCACAAAACTTCACAGTTTTATTACAATAATAGGGAAAAAGATGCAGTGACCAGATTTACTAAATAAATAAAAAAAACTACACAATTTATTTTAAACTAAAAATGGCTGGGTGCGGTGGCTCACGCCTGTAATCCCAGCACTTTGGGAGGCCAAGGCAGGTGGATCACCTAAGGTCAGTTCAAGACCAGCCTGGTCAACATGGCAAAACCCTGTCTCTACTAAAAATACAAAAATTAGCCGAGGGTGGTGGCATGCGCCTGTAGTCCCAGCTACTTTGGAGGCTGAGGCAGGAGAATAGCTCGAATCTGGGAGGCAGAGGTTGCAGTGAGTTATCATGCCACTGCACTCCAGCCTGGGCAACAGAGCAAGACTCCATCTCAAAAAACAAAAAGCAAACAAACAAAAAAACATAAAAACTTTTTATTTTGAAATAAGTATAAATTTACAGAAAGTTGCAAAGAAATGTGTAGGGAGTTCCTATTCAAACTTAACACCACCTCACTTCTCCCCTTGTTGACATTTTGTGTAACTGTAGCACACTATCAAAACTAGAAAATTGCATTGGTAAAATCCACAGAACTTACTCCGATTTTACCAATTGTATACACACTCATGTGTGTGTGTGTGTGTGTGTTACAGTTCCATGCAATTCTATCATAAATGTAGCTTCATTACATATCAACACAATCAAAATACAAAATTGCTCTATTACCACAAAGCTGATCCCTGCTATCCCTTTATAGCCAAACCTACCACTATCCCCATCATCCCTAATCCCTGGCTACCACTAATCTGTTATCTACACTTATAATTTTGTTATTTCAAGAATGCTATATAAACAAAATCATATCTTATGTAAACTTTTAAGACTGGCTATTTTCACTCAGCATAATTTAGTTGAGGTTCATTCAAGTTGTTACATATATTAATAATTTGTTCCCTTCTGTTGCTGAACAGTATTACATGATATGGACATAGGACATTTGTCTTTCATCCATTGAAGGACATTTGGGTTGTTTCCAATTTGGGGCTATTATGACTACAGCCGCTATGAACACTTACATACAAGTATTTTTGAGAACACAGATTTTCATTTATCTGGGATAAATGCTCAAGAGTGCAAATGTTGCGTCATGTGGTAAGTGCATCTTCAGTTTCAGAGGAAAATGCAAAATTATTTTCTAGAATGGCTGAACCATTTTATATTCCTACCAGCAGTGCTGAGTAAACTAGTTTCTCTGATCCATGTCAAGACTTAATATGGTCAGTCTTTTCAATTTTAGACATTCTAATAAATGTGTAGTTGTATTTAATTGTGGTTTTGCATTTTGCTCATGGCTAATGATGTTGAACATTTTTTTCATGTACTTATTTGCCATCTATATATCATCTTCGGTTAAATTTCTACTGATATCTTTTGCCTATTTTCTAACTGGATATTTTTAATATAGAATTTTGGGAGTTATTTATATATTCTACATATAAATCCTTTGTTGGATATGTGATTTGCAAGTATTTTCTCCTAGTCTGTACTGTAGCTTTTTATCCTTTTTAACAGGTCTTTCACAGAGCAGAAGTTGTTGTTGTTGTTGTTGTTGTTGTTCTTGCTGTTCTTGTTTTTTTTAGGACAGGGTTTTGCAATGTTGTCCACACTGGAGTGCAGTGGCTGCTCACAGGTATGACCATAGAACACAGCAGCCTCAAACTCCTGGGATTAAGCAGTCCTCCCACCTCAGCGTCCTGAGTAGCTGGGACTACAGGCATGTGCTACTACACTCTGCAAAAGTTCTTAAATTTTACTGAGATCCAAGTTATCAATTTTCCCTTTTAGGTACCATGATTTTAGTTCAAGTTTAAGAACTCTTTGCCTAATCCTAGGCCCCAAAGATTTTTTTCCCTAAAAGTTTCATATTTTCTATTTAAGTCTGCGGTTAATCCACTGAGTTAGTTTTTGTAAAAGTGTGCACTTTAGGACAAGGCACTTTCTCTTTTTCTTTACCTAAGGATATCCAATTGTTCCAGCATCATTTGTTGAAAAGGCTATTCTTCCTCCACTGAATTTCCTGTGTGTCCTTATCAAAAATCAGTTGAGTATATTTTTCTGGTCTAATTATGTAGATTTTTTAAAAACTACATGTGAAAACCCTTTTTGTTACTTTATTTAGGAGAAAAGCTATAAACCCATTACAATGAACCATTCTGCAACAGAAATGAGAAACGAATACGATAGAAAAAACATAGACTTTAGAATAAAAAAGAATAGTTATAGCTAACATATCTTGCTTCCTTATTCTGCTAGGCATACGGGGGGTGTGTGTGTGTGTGTGTGTGTGTGTGTGTGTGTGTGTGTTCTCATTGTACAGATGAGGACACTGAAGCCCCAGTTTTTTGTTAAGTGGCAGAGTCAGGATATAAACTTTGGCTGACTCTAGAGACCTGCTCTTAGAATGCCTATATATCTTTATGTATTAAGAATTGAAGCCAGCAACACAGAGGCCAGTGTGGTTGAGTGCAGACATATTGGTTTGTGCGGCCCTTCTCCAGACCTGGTGGTCAGTCTGTAAAAGGGCAACACTATCAAGGATCCTATGTTACTCTCCAGATTTTTCCTGATTTCTGCCAAGAGTTCTAACATTCCTGACTCTGAATAGTGTTTGTTTAATAAATTTAAGTAAAAGATGAATTAAATAATAAAGACAACTAGAAATACACATTAACAGGTTAGGATTAAGAGTGACTGTAAAGTGTTCCTCAGCTATAATTCACATCGTCCTCATCATTTTTGTGAATATCAAATAAATTATAACATTTACAAATTTTATGTTAAAATGTTCATTTCACTATTTATCCGTACTAGTCATATCCAATAGAAATATGTATAATGCAAACCACACATGTAATTTTAAATTTCCAGTAGCCATATTAAAAATATCAGAACACACAAAATTAATTTTAATAGTGTATTTTATTTCATTCCACATATCCAAAATGTTATTTCAACAAAAGGCTATATCCACATTTCTAGTGCTCAATAGCCCCATGTGGTTGGTGGCTAACCTATGGGAAAGCGAAGGTCTGCATGCTTCTTAGGCTCCCGGTCATCTTTTCATGTAAGTGGGATAGTTCCTCAACTTTTACTAGAATTATCCTTTAAAAACATTACATTCAATTTATTTTTTTCTATACTTAAATTTAAGATATAGATTATTTGCTTAAAATTCTATGCTACAAAATTGGCATGTTTATATAGCTATTAGGATTGCTGTTAAATTTAAAATGTGTTCAAATTGATCAAAGAAACTGTTAAAAAGGCAAGCATCAGCACCTTTAAAGTTTTACACATATTTGCACATGTTTGTACATCCATGCCCTGGAAATTTGATTGCTGTGATAGCACTAAAAAGAAAGTTTTTTAAAAGGCAAAAAAAGCTCTTATAATAACATAGCTTCAGTTTGACACACCCCATCTGTTGTGTTCACCAAGTTCTTGCTTGGGAATTGAATATACTGTCCTCATGTGTGCATTTCCACCTTTGAGCTTCTGTCATCACCACTGTGTAACTTCTAAACAAGGTTCTTGAGCTTCTGAGGCAAAAGTGATATACTATAATGGTAAATATAAAAGTCAAGGGTTGAAAACTAACTCCTATTTCTTCGTGTTTGATAAAATATAAAATGTAACACTTGCAAATGAAAAGCAAAATGGGCATATACTTTGATTCTGCAATTCCACTTCTAGGAATTAACTATGTTAAAGAAAAAAAACAGGATAAAATCCTAAAGATGCATGTATAAAGATGTTCAGTGATGCCTTATTTACAATAGCCAGACTATGATCAACCTACATGTTCATGAATAGAAAATTAGTTAAATAAGATACATACCTATAATAAAATACTGTCAACATAGTTAATTGGCATGACTATATTTTCATGATATATTTTAAGTGTATATGTATGTATATATATATATGCACAGAAAGAAAGTTTAGAAAGCTCTATATCAAAATGTTAACAGCAGTTATCTCTGTGTCATGATATTACAGATGACTTATGTCAATGTTTCTTTTTTTTGCCCCTTTTCTGTATTTTCTATGTTTTTATATTGAGGTTGTTTTATGTTTATGATTCCAACAATCCTTAAAGCCTTTTGAATTTGGGAAAAACTAATTATTAAGTGTTTATATTTTCCTCTTATAAATTCAATAAAAAACTTCCAAACTGAATTTTAAAATCCAATTTGGAATTGTACTACTGATAATAGCCTACATTAAATTTGCCTTTGGTTTTCAAGAAAGTGTAGCTAATGAATGAAGCCTCTGCTCCCTTTCCAGATTACAGAATATGTAAGCGTTACTAAGAAACCTTAGAGAATACTCAGAGGTTCCAAAACCTAATATAAATATTATCAGGAATCTGACTATGAAAATGTGGGTGTACTGTTACTTCCATTTCAATTCCACAAAGTTCACTGAGCACCTACTATGTGACAGGTTCAATTCTCTTAAAACACTAGTAATACAGCACTCAGCAAAACAATCAAAATTCCTGTTTTCACTAAGATTACAACCAGTAGGAGGAGACTGGCAGTAAACACATAAATCAATAAATGAATATTTCTGGTAGTAGTAAATATTATTAAAATTGAAAGAGAAAATCAGGATAGACAAGGACTATAAAGGAAGACAACTTTAACTAGAGCAGTCAGCAAAGATGTTTCTGAGGAGGTGACATTTGAACTGAGACTTTCAATTACAAGAAGGGACAGCTACTTGTTTGGGAGACCCTTAGTCAATTTCACCTGCATAAATCTGAAGGGCCTCCCTCTTTTCACATATTGTACAGTCATGGCCACAGGTCACATTCAGGGAGAACAAAGTGAGTGAAGCTTTCTAAGGGAGGAGGGTTGTTCCTCTACACAAAGGGGATGTCAGTGTCTCCTTGTTTGTTATTTTTCTAAGATTGTGATACACTGCACTATATAACTGATATAACTGTTCCCAGCTATGTGGTTTAATTAACAGTCCTAAAATGGATAGTTGGCTTAAAAGTTTCCTGAAAAAGAAAACATGGATTACAGAAAATATTAATAATGCAACACAAATGTAAACAAAAACATTAGAGCTGATGTCTCTCCAATTCTAGTATGATTGAATTCACAATTATTGATATTATGAGGTAAATATTCTATAAGATGTGACAAGACACTCAAAAATGAGAACATTACCAAGACGACTATTTTACATGTACATTCATATCTTTTATATGAATACCTCATTACAAAGAATAAAATTAAAGAGACTGACAATACTAAGTGTTGGCAAAGATATGCAGCAACTGGAGGTCTCATACACTGCTGGTAAAAATGTGAAAGGAACAACCACTTTGGAAAAGTCTTGGGTAGTTTCTTAAAATGTTGAATATACTCTACTATACAATTCAGCCATTCCACTCCTAGGTATTTACCCAAAAAATAACAAAAACATATATCCAAAAAAAGACATATATGAATGTTTAAATAATGGAAATGATGCATAATATATAGTATATTTACGAAATGAAATATAATTATGTAAAGTATATCTGTATTATTAACTGTGGCAGAAGCAAGATTCCTCTGGCACAGATATGCAGATACTGGCAGTTAAAAGTCAGTAGAAGAACACTAAAGGTCCAAAGAATATGACTAGCGACTAGCACACTCTCAGTGTCTGCTCCATTTTTGTTTGTTTGTTTGTTTGTTTGTTTGAGACGGAGTCTCACTCTGTCTCCCAGGCTGGAGTGCAGTGGCATGATCTCTGCTCACTGCAAGCTCTGCCTCCCGGGTTCACGCCATTCTGCTGCCTCAGCCTCCCAAGCTGCTGGGACTACAGGTGCCCGCCACCACGCCTGGCTAATTTTTTGTATTTTTAGTAGAGACAGGTTTTCATCATGTTAGCCAGGATGGTCTCGATCTCCTGACCTCGGGATCCGCCTGCCGCGGCCTCCCAAATTGCCGGGATTACAGGCGTGAGCCACCATGCCCAGCTGCTCCATTTAATAACATAGATACCCTTTTTTTTTTTTTTTTTTGAGACAGAGTCTCACTCTGTCACCCAGGCTGGAGTGCAGTGACATGTTCACTGCAACCTCCACCTCCCAGGTTCAAGCAATTCTCATGCCTCAGCCTCCCAAGTAGCTGGAGTTACAGGTGCGCACCACCACACCTGGCTAATTTTTGTATTTTTAGTAGAGAGAGGGCTTTGCCATGTTGCCCAGGCTGGTCTCAAACTCTTGAGCTCAAGCTATTGACTTGCCTCAGTCTCCCATAGTGCTAGGCATGAGCCACCACACATGGCCTAATATAGATATACTTTTTACATGTTTGTTATAATATTCCTCTATTTGCCTAAATTTAATTATTAAAGTTAAATTTCAAATTTAAAAGCATATTGTCATATAAAAATGCATTTCTGAACGCACATATTACATAACAAAATTGTTAGAAGTGAAATTAAAGTTTCATGGTTTAACATGATTTTTTTCCAATATTTAACTATGAAAGTTTTAAAACATATAGAGAAGTTAAAATTATTGTATACTGGACACAAATATACACATTACTTAGATTCTACAATTAATATTTTACTATATTTTCTTTGTCACATAACTATATACCTGTCAAATACTTTATACATCCATCAATCCATCCTGTGAATATCAAGGTGAGTTACAGACATAAATACACTTCTCTCCTAAACATTTCATCATACAGATAAGAGTTCAACATTTGCATATATTTCTTTTTATTTTTGAGTAAATTTACCTACAGAATTGTACAAATCTCAAGTGCACCAATAGATGAGTGTTGGCAAATGCATCCACTATGTAATAAAAACCCCTATCAAAACATAAAGAATTTCTATCATCAAAGAAAGTGCCTTTGTGCTTTTCCAGTCAATCCTACCCTCCATGGCAAACATTTTTTCCCCAGTGTAGATTAGTTTTGCCTGTTTCTAGAACATCGTATAAATGAAATAATACAATATGTATTATTTGTGTAAGGCTATTTTCAAGTACCATAATATTTTTGAGGATTATCCATGCTACCACATTATCTGCAGTTCATTATATATCCCACTGAATATATTCAATTGTTTTCTTTTAGAGAACCCATTCTACTACTGATGTACTCCTGAGTTTTTTGCAGTTTTAGGATATTTTGAATTAAGCTTGAATAAAGTTGCTGAATATTCTCATATAAGTATCTTGTGGACGTACATTTTCACATTCCTTGGGTAAATACCAAAGGGTGGAATTTCAGGGACTTCGGATAGATGTATATTTAGTTTAATGAGAAACTGTCAGATATTTTCTCTAAGTGGCTGTAGCAATTTACATTCTCACCAATTTGTAAAAGGATTCCAGTACTCTACTTCCTCAGTAACATCTGCTGCCATCAGACTGTTTCATTTTAGTCAAGCAGATGAGCTAATAATGTTGAGAACATTCTTGTGTCTTTATTGGCCATTTATGTATCTTCCTGTGTAAAAGTGTCTGTTCAGATCTTTTGGTCATTTTTGATTGAATACTTTTATTATTGACTTGTAGGCATTCTTTATGTAACTGGGACAACAGTTCTTTGTCACACATTTTGTAAATATTTTCTCTGATTTAACTATTCATTTTCATACTGATAGCTTCTGATGAACAGATGTTTTAATTCTGATAAAGTCTAATTCACCAATTTTCATTCTTTTATAGTTCTTACTTCTATGTCCTATCCATGAAATCTTCATTTACCATCAAGTTATGAAGATATTTTGCTATGTTTCTTCTAGTAGTTTTATAATTTTATCCTTTGCATTTAGGCTTATGATTTATCCTAAATTAATTCTCATGTATGGTGTGAGGCAGAAGTTGAGGTATATTTTTCTACATGGGTATTCAGTCATACCAGCACAATTTGTTGAAAGACTTTCTTTTTCCCATTGGATTGTTTTGGTGCCTTTGTCAGAAGTCAATTGATTATATAAGTAGGGTCATTTACCAGGCTATCTTGTTCTATTCATCTTTGTTGATCCATATGCCAGCACTATACTGATTTGATTACTGTATAAATCTTAGATGATGTTTAAAATGCCATTTTTTGGATTGTTTGAATACTTTTTAAAGAGTTATCTTTTAAATTATGTATTAGCTTTTTAGCTACATGTTTCTGTATTTAATTTTTTAGTAGTTGCTCTAGAAATTATAATATACATACTTAATTTATTGGTTTAAATAAAATATTCTGCCATGTCACATAAAATACAAATATAGTCCAACAAAATGAATCCATTTATCCACCTCTCCATCCTTTAGACTCTAGTTGTCATGTTACATTGACATACTTTATAAGCCCCACAAAATAATAATGCTTGCTTTAAATAAGCATGTGAGTTTTTAAAAAAAAATTTAAAGGAAAAGGAGTCTTTTATATTTACTCATATTTGTCACTTATGGTGCATTTTATTCTTTCCTGAGGATGCTGGGGCTCCATTCATTTTTTTTCAATGTTTATCTCTCTTCTTCAAATTGAATAATTTCTATTGATTTATCTTTAAATTCACTGATTCTTTTTTCTGTAAATGCAATGTGCTATAAAAGTCCATCCAGCCTTATATGTGTGATTAGGACCCATGCATAATTTGGTATGCATCTGAACATTCAGTGCTCCAATTTAACTGGAAAAGCTGTGAAATGCAGTTGTTCTGCCAAACCACACTTCACTCCTTTCATCTTCCTTTCTAGGGAAATATTTTAGTTTGTCAGTTATCATTGAATAACTCGAGGGCTGATTTGTAGATTTTATCCAATGTCAAAAAAGTCAATCTTGCCTTTTTCAAGCCACTTCAAATAACTATGGAAAATATTATCACCTCATAAAGTATATTGTTTTACTCCTAAGCAAGGGTGAGGAATCTGAGTATCATGTGCAAGGCTCAAGATGACGCTTAGAACAGAACATGCAGAGTAAAAATAGTTTCCTTCCATATCCAGGTAATAGAAAGCTGACAATTGTAGTCCTGTCTTTATGGGATGAAAACAGTCCCTTTAACATAAGTTTTCTGAAAGGGAGAACACATAGATAATAACTCTTCTGGTAACATATTATGGTACACTGGCCAGTGTGTTTTCGGCGATTAAACATAATCCCGTGAATCAGATTAATTCACTTGCTGAGTGTTCATTTGCGGCATCCCATTGGAATTTGTGCTAGCAGTTTGAGCACTAGTTCTGTGTGCCTACGAACTTAATGCTGCTATTGTCTCATTCTGACTTCATGGAGAATTAATCCCACCTTTAAGCAAAGTCTACTATGTTAATGGTATTTTCTGTGCAGAAATTAAATTTTATTTTCAGCATTTAGCCCAGGAATTTTTCCAGTAGGTGCTCAGCTATTTAAAAACAAAACTATTCTCAAACATTCATCATTAGACAACTGGAGTTTTTGCTGATTTTGTAACCTACCAAAATGGATAGGCTGTTGAACATTCCACATTCAAAAGTTTTGTAGGGTGGTGGGAAATGGGGGATCTTCAATGTTTATTTTAAAATAAAATAAAATAAGTTCTTGACTTTAAAAAAAAAAAGTCCATCCAGTGAAATTTTATTTCAGACACCATATTTTTCAATTCTTGAATTTCTCATTTTTTAATAGTTGCTTACTCAGATTTTCTTTTTATTCATTACTAGTATATTTTCCTTTATATCCTTGAGCATTGTTATGATAGCTAATTTGAAATCCTGGTTAGCTAATTATATCATCTGAGTCAACTGGTCTCTATTCTTTTGGATATGAGTAATTTTGGATTGTATACTGAACATTGTGGGTGTTATGTTATAGAGACTCTGGATTCTTATTATGTTATTCCAAAGAGTATTTATTTTTTTCTTGTATTATTTTAACAAGAAGTTAATCTGGCTAAACTTAGAGTGTTAAATCTGTTTCTCATAGGGTAGGTGACAGCTAAAATATCAACTACTTTAGTTTCAGATGGACTATTTAGCATCTTCATTGAGCACATGTATTTCAGGGATAAGCCTGAGATTTGGAAAGAGTTTATATGCAAAATTTGAGCTCTCTTTCTCTGGCTTTCACTTCTCTGGGATATCCCCTTACTTCTCAGAGGCTGAGGTTGCCTTGATCTCTATCCTCTAGTCTACAGTTTTCTATCAGATTTTTAGCTTCTTTGCATGGAGCAAACTGTACCTTGCTCTCAGTCCAATATCCTTAAAAAGAAAAAATTCACTCACTGCCATGCATTTTTCAACATTAATAAAAACCTTTAATGGACTATTTTTTAGAACAGTTTTAGGTTCACAGGAAAATTGAGCAGAAAGTACAGAGAATTCCCATATCCCCCTCTCTCCACATATGCAAAAGCTCCCCCACTAGGGACACCCTGTGGGAGAGTAGTACTTGTTACAATTGATGAATCAACATTATTATTACTACCCAAAATTTATAGTTTACATTAGGGTTCAGTCTTCATGTTGTACATTCTATGAACTTTGACAAATGTATAATGACATGTCTCCACTATTGTAGCATTGTACAGATTAGTTTCACTGCCCTAAAAATCTTCTTTGCTCTTCTCATTTATCCTCTGTCTGGAACTCATGGCAACCACTGATTGTTTTACTGTTCCATAGTTTTGTCTTTTCCAGAATGTCATATAGTTGGAATAATATAGTACGTAGCCCTTTCAAATTGGCATCTTTCACTTAGTATGCCTTCTTTTAATTTTTGATACTGCCTCCATTATGTTTTTGCTTTGGGTCACTCTTTATTGTCTTTAGGTAGCTATTTTTCTAGAATTAAAGTTGTTATCTATAAGAAGGCTGACCTAATATGAGCTACTCAGTCATTAAGAGAAGAGGAGTTTTAAAAACATAGATTACTACTTTTAACAGTAATGAACAGACTTCTGGCCACAGTTCAGGATAGATGTATCATAGATTATCTTAGATAAACCTATAATAATTAAATTTCAGAGTTGAAATAGATCTTAATGGTCATCTACTCTAACAAGTGATAACAAAGTTAATCCTAATTCCCATCAAATAAAATGAAATATCATTATTTTATTACTTATGATGTACCATTTACCAAAAAGGGACAATTATATTCTAAATATATGTAACAAACCTGTCAAGGCTGTTTCACTTATAGATTTAATTTGTAGAAAAACTGCTCCTTTCAATGAAGTCCAGTTTTGGTAATTATCATATACTTCATTTTTAATACTGGTTAGTTCCCTTTTAGTAAAAGTAAGTAATGAAAGAGTCTTATTCCAGAAATATTTGTACTCTGACAATCTTTGACTGCAAAGTAAAAAAAAAAAATAGGATTTTAAAAAATAGTAAGCATAACAAACATTTCTTCAAAAATAGTTTTAGAGTGACCATATAATCTAGTGTCTAATTGGAGACAATTTTGAAACCAAAAGAAGGTGGTATTCATATTATGCTGAGACAAAACACAAACTAGGAATATCTCAGATAGAGTGAAGTGTATGGTCACTCTAACTCATTTCCATTTTGCCATTATTTTAACTACAAAGAAAGATAGCTAACTACCTTCATATACATTTGTTCTATTAATCTTTTTTTATTCAACCGTAAACATTTAGTGAAGAAAATTAGGTCAGAGAAATTTAGTCTTAGATCCTAAATGACAATCTTAAAGTCTTATACAGCATTTGTCCCGCATACCATGGTTATATAGGTAGTGAAAAATCTGGGGTAATAATAAATAAAACAATTCAAAGTGACTGATCCAGTGCATTTGCTTCATAAAATCCAACAGCTCAAAGTAATCACATTTTTGTCATCTCAGTGATTTTATTCTGGTTTTAATTATCTTAATAATCAAATAAAATACAGACATAGATTTGAGAGCAGCAAAAAGGTGATGACTGAAGCCATGAGAGTATAATTATTTTGTCAATATTTACATCCCTGAGTAGACTAAGATCTATAAGGCAGAGGTTATATCTATCTTGCTCATCACAGTCTCTCTAGCATCTAGCACAGTGCCTACTGCATAATATGTGCTCAACAAATATTGAATGAAAGAGTAAATAAAATAGATTCCTCCTCAGTTGGAGAAATGGAAAAGTGAGAAGTGCTAGGGATAACACACTGGACAACACAAACATTTAAGGGACTGAAACTAAAAAGAATCCCTCAAAGGAGACTAGGGGGAACTCATCAGTGAGTAAGAAGATAAGCCAAAAGAATAATGTCAGAAAAGCCAGGGGATATGGAAATTTTAAGAAAAATGTAGTGATCAGTGTTTAAGTCTGCAGAAAAAGGCTGAATAGAGTCCATTTTATCTGGGAGGCCTTTGGTAATTAGTAATTAGTAATTTGGTAATCAGTAATGCCACACAAATTCTTAGCATTGTCCAATTTGGGGAAATTCTTATTAAACTTTTCTAATACATAAGATTGTCATTTCAGGTTTTCTTGGAAAGTGATTAAATTGTCTTTGAAACAATGAAACTCATGGGCCAGTTTATCTTAGATGGTCTCCCTGAAGTAGTATATTATGATTTGTATGTTACATTCAGTGATGTTACTCATATTTGTGAAATCAGTGAAAACTTAAATCTTTCTCCAATGTATCTGAATAATTAACTCCCTTTCATTAGATTATCAAATAACCCAAGAACTTTAAAAAATTTATCTTTCTATTAATAAATTTGCTTTGATGTAATCAAAAAAGTTATTACGATTTGCTTCTTTAGGCCACAATAATTTCTATTGCCTAATTTGCTTATAAATGCTTTTATTTGATTAATTTTAAAA
This sequence comes from Homo sapiens, assembly GCF_000001405.40. NCBI lineage: Eukaryota > Metazoa > Chordata > Mammalia > Primates > Hominidae > Homo > Homo sapiens. The sequence goes on along the minus strand of NC_000003.12, from coordinate 156,925,941 downwards.
ATTATATACATCCAAATTAATGTAATTTCTTGCTTGTTTCATTAAAGCATTCTAAAATATCTTACTAAATGGCAATTATAATGGTATACTCCTAAGCCAACTTTCCCTTACTCAGATCCTCCAAATGCCTGTGACTACTCCAATGGTATACTGACAACAGAAGTGAGAATCACAAAAAATTAATAATTAATTTTTTTAAAAAGTGAGAGAGAGGAAAAACCTGAGTAGAAAGAGAATTTTTAACCAAATTACAACCCATTCATCTCGCTTTCACCAGGAGCCCTCCCAGAACCTTGGAAGGAAGTCCTAAGTGAGAGACTCTGAAACTTAAGCATCATCTGGTTCACAATAAATTTGCCTCTATTGGTAACCTTAACATTCTCTGTGAAATAAGAGGCAAGAAAAACAGTTGCTAAGAGATGAATAACACCAAGGAGCCTAAGCAGAATATTGAGGATTCCTCACTAAGGAATTAGTGTTTAACAACCTGGAAGTAGGTATGAAGTCCAAAGGATTTAAGGGTAAATACAACTAAATGAGTAGAGGTAAAAGGACTTGGAGTGTTAGCAAACTCCTCTATGTAGAAAATTCTAAAGAAGACACACACAAACACACACACACACACACACACACACACAAATACTAGAATTAATAAACAAATTCATCAAGGTCACAGGATACATGATACATATACAAAAATCAATTTTATTTCTGTATATTAACAATGACCAATCCCCAAGATAAAATTAACAGTCCCAATTCATAACAACATAAAAAGAATAAAACACTTAGAAATAAATTGTAATAAAAGAAGTTCAAGAAAACAAAACATTTTTGAGAGGGCTAAAGATCTCCATGGAAAAACATACCACATTCATGAATTGAAAGATACAAAAATTTTAAGGTAGAAATTCTCCCCAAATTGATCTATAGATTCAATACTATACCTATCAAAATCCCAGCAGGTTACTTTGCAGAAATTCACAAGCTGATCCTAAAATTCATTATGGAGGGCGCAGAATAGCAAAAACAATTTTGAAAACGAAGAAGGAAGTTAGAGTAATTATATTTCTTGATTTTAAAATTTATTAAAAACTGTAGTACTTAAGAGAGTGTGGCACTGACATAAGACATATAGATTAATGGAATAGAATAGAAAATCCAAAAATAATCCTTTACATTTATGGTGAATTTATTTTAGGCAAAGATGCTGAGGCAATTCAATAAGGAAAAATTGGCCTCTAACAAACAGCACTGGAACAATTGAATATCCACGTGAAACAGGATGAATTTAGATTCTTACCTCATATCATACACAGAAGTTAGCTGAAATAGATCATAGATCTAAAGAAGAGCTAAAACTATAAAACACTTAGAAGAAAATACAGGAGAAAATCCTTCTGACCGGCTTAGACAGAGTTCTTACAGACATCAGCAAAAGCACAATCTATAAAACAGATAAATTATATTTCATTAAAAATAACAAACTTTGCTTTTCAAAAGACATTATTAAGAAAATAAAAAGATAAGCCACTGGGAGAAAATATTTGCAAATCATAGTTCATATAAAGGCCTTATACCCAGAATATAGAAAGAACTCTTACAATCACATAATAAGAAAATAAACCAATTAAAAATTGGCAAAATATTTGAGATGTTTCACTAGTAAGATATACAAATGATTAACAAACAAATGAAAAGATGCTCAACATCATTAGTAACTTGGGAAACACAAATCAAAGCTACAATGAGATACTATTTTACACCCACTAGAATGACTACAACAAAACAGGCAGACAATAGGGAGTGTTGACAAAAACATGGAGAAACTAGAATCCTCATTCATGGTGTGGGAATGTAAAATGTGCAGCCCCTTTGGAAAACAGGTTGGCAGTTAAAAAATTAAATATTGATTGGCAGGGCGCGGTAGCTCACGCCTATAATCCCAGCACTTTGGGAGGCTGAGGTAGGCAGATCATGAGGTCAAGAGATTGAGACCATCCTGGCTAACACGGTGAAATCCCATCTCTACTAAAAATACAAAAAATTAGCCAGGCATGGCGGCGGGCACCTGTAGTCCCAGCTACTCGGGAGGCTGAGGCAGGAGAATGGCGTGAACCTGGGAGGCGGAGGTTGCAGTGAGCCAAGATCATGCCACTGCACTCAAGCCTGGGTGATAGAGCGAGCCTCCGTCTCAAAAAAAAAAAAAATTAAATATACATTAATCATATGACCTAGTGATTCCACACTTAGGTATCTACTCCAAAGAATTGAAAACATATGTCCACACAAAGACTTGTATATGAATGTTTACAGCAGCATTATTCATAAGCACCAACAAGTGGAAACAATCCAAATATCCATCAACTGGTAAATGGATAAATAAAATGTGGTATATCCATACAGTGGAATACTGTTCAGCAATAAAAAGGAACAAAAGTATGGATAAGTGCCACAACATGAGTGAACCTCAAAAACATAATTAGTAAAAGCCAGATGTAAAGACAACATATTGTATGATTCCATATATCTGAAATGTCGAGAAAAGTATAAATCTATAGAAAGAGAAATGTTAGTTGCCTGGTGAGCTGAAGGTGAGCACAGAGATTGATTGAAGATGGCATGAGGGTCTGGAGGGTCTTTTCTGGAATTAGTCAAGTGTTCTAATATTGGATGTGGTTGCCAATCTAATAGCTAACATTTGGTGGCACAACTCTGTAGGTTTATTAAAAATAATTAAATTGTCTCCTTAAGATAGGTGAATTTTGTGGTATGCAAATTATATCTCAATGAGGATGTTTTTAAAAAGATACGGGGTAATAAACTATGGGATCAAGGATAGAAAACAAAGTAAAGCCAAAATATGGTTGGGAAATTAAGAAAAAATATTAGCATCCTTAATTAGACTGAAGAAGCGAAGTGAAACTGAGAGAGCTGCAAGAGAAATTTTTGGAGTTGACATTGAAAATTTTAGAGATGATAAGGTCTAGCTTTACAAATAAGAAAAATTAAAGGATAAGTACTCTTTATTTCAAATAATTTATAAAAGATTCACAATAGTAATCCTCTAAAAGTAAATACTGCTAGAATATTTCAAATATGGTCTGATTTGGAATATTGAACTTAAACACAACTTTGTGAGGTGAAATATATCTATATTTCATTCAGGTTTTTAATATCTATTTTATAGGCCTTCTACAATTAATTTGCATTTTCAAAAGACACTTTATTCTGAGTAGCAGATGTGCTGAGCCAACCAATGTGCCAACTAATATGCTGAGCCCTTGCAAGACACAGGCTGGAAATGATGTCAGGGAAAACACAGATCATGAAAGAATACTTTGCTGGAGGCTAGTGATTAAGCCCAATTGTAATTAAACAAAAGAGAGAAGAAATTAAAAACAGCAATGGACCCCAAAACATAGTTCACTGATCTACTGAAAGTTCCTTTTAGGCTCCATAAATAAAGATGATTATATCTGAGTAAAAAGCTCATGTTTCTTTCCCTTAACTCTTTTTTTTTTTTCATCCCACATTTTGGCCTACGAATCCTTTACCTCTTCAAGACAGAAGATTATAAGCTCTTTTTCTTTATTAAGAGCAACTAAGTTTTATGGCCTGATATTTTAAAAATAATCAATAATCTAGCTTAAAATCAGCTTTTAGTAATGCAACAAAAGTCACTGAACTCTAGAAATTTGGTTTGATTTTATTTTTAACAGTATACCTTTTTCTATGGAATGCATTATATCTACCAGTGAAAGTATAAAAACAATAATTATTTCTATTCATCTATTACAAACTGTAATTTGTACTAAGTGTCTAGTTGACTAGTTACTTCCAAAATTGTTTTTAGTATGTACTATTTTTATGTAAGTCAGATCCCAGACTCCTAATTTGTGATCTTTCAGCTAAAAATGAGCAAAAATCACAGATCTATGGAAACATGTGAACAAAATAAGCTGTTAAAAGTATAACTCAAAATGATGACAAAATTAGAATACAGAATAAAAATAACACCTCCATTTGTATGTCTATGTTTCTTCAAAAATTTGAAATACTGAAGATAACATGCAAAAATGAAAATAATTAGGATCAAGTGTATCAGTCCCATAATATCCTGAAGCGGCAATAATTATTTGGTCTAGTCCCAGTCCAGCCTTTAAAGGTAAATCTTACCATCCATGAAGGCTTTGGTGGATAAATCAGATGAGCCTTCTGCGGCAGATATGGGCCAAAGCTATTACAGAAGCCAAAAATGAATACTGATAGTCCTGATTAAAATACAAAAGTTGGGGTCACCTGGATGGCATTATCCTTTTGGTTCAACACCAGATTTCTAGGAAAGGATCAAGGGGATTTCTGATGATAAAAATGGTCACTTGTTTTGTGAGTGGATTTCATTCATGGATTCATTCAAAAATTATGTATTGAGCATCAGTTATGTGCAAAGCATTTGTAAAAGGTAGATGTTCAATAGGTTATTATCAGAAAATGAATTAAAAATTATTAGCCCACAGAAATTTATTCAGAATATTCCTGGTAATAATTCTTAGATAAAAAGCAAAAACTTATTCAAAACACTCACCCAGCATACTTTTTTAGTCATCCAGAACCTGTGTCATTTGCCATGTTGAATTAACTTATTGCCTTCCCTTTTCTAAGAGCTAAAAGTTATTCAATTCAAAAAGGAACTATTCTTTCTCATAAACATTCTCAATATACTCAATTCAAATTTTAGGAAAGAAAATGTACTTCTTAGTTTCTTTAGAACGCTGGATTTTATCTTTAGGTATTATAAACCCTCCAAAGATTATATAAAAGCAGAATTAACATGCTTTACACTAGATATTTCTGAATTTAAGGAGTATGTTAATATTATTTAGGAAGTTTTCTTATTCTATTACTTTTCTTGTCACTGGACTATCACTCAGAGGATCAAATACACCAAGAAATATTGGTGAAGAGGGAAATTAGTTACCGTGCTTTCATTCTAAATGCCACCACAAAATAAGAACAGTAACAAGGCACTAATAGAACAAGGTATATGCCTAATTTAAATTTAATTAGCAACACTATTCATTGAGATAATGGTTTAAAAAAGAAAAAAGAAAACCTAATGCTGTTTCACTTTTCTCAATCACACCAGATATAGAAACCATATTACTAAAATGTGTTTGGCTATTTACAAAGTTAGTATTAAGCATATCTTTTCAATCTTTATAATTTTCAGTTCTTTAATCTTACCTGAAGATGTATGATTGTCTATATTTAATTTTTAGCTCATCTTGCAAATGACTCAGTTGTTTCTTTACTTTCTGAAATTCATTTTGTTGACTTTTTAACTGCATGCCTACATCGTAAATTCTAAAAATATAAACAAACATTCCTTAAGTATTCTCTCATATGTACAATTTTCAAGTTAACATTTAAATATACTTACTTTTAATAAAAAGGAGTAGAAGAAGAAACTATGTCTCTTATATATGCTATATGAATGTACAGAAAAAATATGGAGAGACCAAATCTTGGGCACCAAATCCTGGGGAGGAGAGTGGAATTTATGGGCAGGGGGAAAAAGTAAAGAATATTGAAGAGAGGCAGAACTTTTTATCTATATTCTGTTGTATTGTTCAACTGTTTACAATGAACATAAATATTAATCACAACTAAAAATATTAATTTAATTTCATTTAAAGTAATACATGTTCAAATTTAAAATGTCAAATATTACTGCCTTAGTCCATTTTGTGTTGCTGTAAAAGAATACCTGAGGCTAGGTAATTTATAAAGAAAGAAAGGTTTACTTTGTTCATGATTCTGGTGACTGGAAAATTCAAGATTGGATAGCTGCATCAAGCGAGGGCCTCATGTTGCTTCCACTTATGGCAGAAAGTGGAAAGGGGCATGTGCAAAGGGATCACGTGATGAGAGAGGAAGCAAGAGAGAAAAAAAATCAAGGAAGCCAAACTCTTTTTTTGTGTGTGGCTTTCGGTAAGAAGTCATTTGGAAGAACATGAGTTAACTTTTGGTATAATGAATGAATGAAAACTTAGGATCAAAATTAAAACTGTAAGTATATAAACATGAAAAGTAAAATTTACATGAGGAAAAAGATGTCTGACATTTTATCCACATGGTAACACTAACTCACAACGTCCAAAGAATAACATGGTAACATTATAAACTTGATCTAATACATCATGGCAATGGGATGTTTAGCTTAATTAATTAAAAAGACAATAAGATTTGTTAGCATGTAGTTGCTATAAACAGTTATTAATCTATTTCTAATATAAATGTACAGAAATATTGGTTGCCAAGAAAACACATTTTTTATCACATATAATCAAACAATTGAAAATGAACTGAGGCATTACATTCAGCTGTGAATAACAGGAAATACTAGAAATTTCCTGATAAAAAGAAGGTGCTTCTTCACACATGAAAGTCTTGGGTGAGACCAGTCACTGCACAATTCAGCAGAGGAATAAGCTCCCACCTAGTTGGTTTTTAATGGCAGCATAGTAGCTGTCCACCTGAACCAAGAACAGAGTCACTATCAAGGAGGAACAACAATGCTCGTAATACAAAGTAGACCTTAAACCAATTCAATCTATAGATTAGGGGAGTTGAGCATCAGAGAATATTTCCAGCCATGACAATGTGAATTAGTTCTCTCGTAAACACTTCATAATTGCTGGGGGGAAAAGCAATGAAAGGATGTATCTTTAATGTGGAGCATCTGGGGACATCTCTGGAGAGCTACAACTCTGAGAAAAGGAAAGTCAAGTGATTTGGAGGGTACTCTCGATTTGCAAGCCAAAGAACAAGGACAATGGGCTGAAAGCCGGTGGCCATGCACCTCTCTCTCGTATTTTAACAACCTGCTATCTTGGGAACTAATCCATTCTTGCCAGAGCAAAAACTCCATTCACTCACAAGGGAGGGGATTAATCTATTCATGAGGAATCTGCCCCTATGACCCAAACACCTCCGATGAGGCCGTACCTCGCAACAATGCTGCCTTGAGGCTCAAATTTCATCATGAGTTTTGGTGAAGACAAACCACATCCAAACTGTAACAATGACTAAAAGGGTTATTAAAAAAATAGTAACCATGTGCTTCTACCCCAATTCCCACTGCCAAAGGCAACTACTTTTAATGTTTTTTTCCTGTTTCTCCTAGTATTTACCTCCATATTACTAACATGTTTACACTGATATTTCCTAATATTTAATTTTATATATTATTTAGTGATACATATCAGTTAAGATCTAGTTATGCTACATATAATTGCCACCTGAATATGATGGCATAAATATATATATAATCTCACATAAAACAAATGCATTGGTAATCAGTTCAGTGCTAATATCATATAGGGCCTCATATCCTTCCAACTCTCTGGTCTATCATCTTTGGTATCTGTACTTTATTCTCATAGTCCATGATGGTGGTGAAAGCTTCAATCATTACATTCCCATTCCAGGCCAGGAACAGGAGAATAACAGCCTACTCCATCCGTTTTAAGCCAATTTCCTTAAAGTACCACTGAATACTTCTACTGAACTTAGATACATGGCCATACTTAGCTGCACATGCAGATGGAAGGTGTCGTCCTTTAAAGATTAGCCCCCAGATATATTCTGTTACTTAGAAGGCAAAATGGATGTTGGGGTAGGTAGCTAATAAGAATTGACCCTCCTATACATATCTACATACTTTTCTCTTAATCCTCCCAATATAGTTAAATCAGCACTTTTTATTAAATTATATTTAGTATTCACATTGTTATTCACTTGTGAGCAACATATAATGCCATGATTATATTTCTTTCTTGTATAACTTTTTGTTGTCTCTGGAATTAAAAATTGTCTCCTTTTCTTCTTTCGTAGTTTTCTGGGTACCATCATTTACTCTTCTTCCATCTTTGACAGAGAGGTAATTCTTCTCCTGACACCTTCAGACACAGCAGATAATCTTTCCAAATCATTTCTTTACCAGGAGGTAGCCTTCCTGGAGCTTTCTATTCCCCTGCTATAGTCTGGTTTATGCTCTGGTTTGACTACACAGCTGTCATCATAAGACTTCCCTTCTCCATCACTTCAGGAACTGTCCTCATCTCTCTTTCATGTCAATTCTCCTATACCCTGGTTCCAAAGTTTTATTCCTTCTTGGTTTACTCCTAGGAGCAAATCATCCAGAAATGTCCTGTGCATTGGCAGTAAATTTGAGACTCTGGATGTCTGAACATGTTATTTTATCTCAGATGGAACAGTTTGGCTGAATAGAAAATCACATATTTTAAAAATATTCAGCAGAAGATTAGGACACCATTCCATTGTTTCCTAATTTCCAGTGATGCTGCTGAGAAATCCAATGACATTCCCATTTCTATTTCTTTGTGTGATATATGGTGGGCCCCCCACCCTTCCCCCTGCTTCAGAAGCTTTTTCTGAAAGAAAATTTTTTACTTTTCACTTGGGTTTCTTCAATTTGATCACAATGTATCATCATGTTAATCTTTTGTCATTCTCTGTGCTGGGCACTTGGTGAGTACTTGCTTTAGAAACTGATTTCTTTAGTTTTCAGAAATTTACCCTAGGGAGAATGATGCTTTCCTGTCAATTTTCTGTTTCTGTCTGGAACATCTTTCTATTATTTTAGTTGTGGAATTTCCTGAACAGATCTCTTAGCTTTCTTATCCTTTCTCTACCATTTTACCACTTTTAACTTTCTGTTCTTTCATTATCTTCCATCCTATTAAAGTTTTAACTTCTGCTATCACATTCTAACTACCAAAATTTCTTTCTTATTCTCCAAAAGGCCTTTTTTAATTGCCCCTTTTCTTGTCCCATGAATACAATTTGTATTTCTTTGAGGATATCAATTCTAGTGTGTTTTTGAAGTTTTCTTCAGTTTGCTGCATTGCTTCTGTTTCTCTTTGAGACTCTTTCTTTGTTTTACTTTTTGACTTTCATGTTTGAGGCTCTGCTCAGAAGGCTGATTATCCTTTATTGTCTGTTCATAATCAAGAATGAAGTACTCTCACAACCAACATCATGCTGAATAGGCAAAGGCTGGAAGCATTCCTCTTGAAAACAAGAACAAGACAAGGATGCCCTCTCTCATTACTCTTATTCAACATATTATTGAAAGTTCTGACCAGAGTAATCAGGCAAGAGAAAGAAATGAAGTACATCCAAATAGGAAGAGAGGAAGTCAAACTATCCCTGTTTGCAGATGACATGATTCTATATCTGGAAAACTCCATAGTCTCAGCCCAAAAGCTCCTTCAGCTGATAAACAGCTTTGGCAAAGTTTCAGGATACAAAATCAACATACAAAAATCACTACTATTCCTATACACCAACAACAGCCAAGCCAAGAGCCAAATCAGGAATGCAATCTCATTCATAATGACCACAAAACAAACTGAATAGGAAAACAGTTAACCAGGGAGGTAAAAAATCTCTACAATGAGAATTATAAAACACTGGTCAAAGAAAGCAGAGCTGACATGAACAAATGGAAAAACATCACATGCTCATGGATAGGAAGAATCAGTATCATTAAAATGTCCATACCACCCAAAGCAATTTAGAGATTCAATACTATTCCTGTCTAACAATGATATTCTTCACAGAACTAGAAAAAAACTATTTTAAAATACATATGGAACAAAAAAAAAGAGCCCAAATAGACAAAGCAATTCTAAGCAAAAGGAACAAAGCCAAAAGCATCACACTATCCAACTTCAAACTATGCTACGGGGCTACAGTAAGCAAAACAGCATAGTACTGGCACAAAAACAGAGACATAGATCAATGAAACAGAAGAGAGAGCTCGGAAATAAGAACACACACCTAAACCATCTGATCTTTGACAAAGCTGACAAAAACAAGCAATGGGGAAAAGACTCCCTATTCAATAAATGGTGCTAGGGTAACTGGCTAGCCATATGCAGAAGATTGAAACTAAACCCCTTCCATACACCGTATACAAAAATTAACTCAAGATGGATTAAAGACTTAAATGTAAAACCCAAAACTATAAAAAACCTGGAAGACAACCTAGGCAATACCATTCTGGACATAGGAATAGGTAAAGATTTCTTGACAATGACATCAAAAGCAATCACAACAATAGCCAAAATTGACAAATTTGATCTAAGTAAACTTAAAAGCTTCTGCACACCAAAAGAAACTATCGACAGAGTAAACAGACAACCTACAGAATGGAAGACAAAATTTACAAACTACGCATCTAAAACAGGCCCGATATGCAGCATGTATAAGGAACTCAAATTTACAAGAAAAAAAACAAACAAACAACCCCGTTAAAAAGTGGGCAAAAGACATGAACAGACACTTCTCAAAAGAAGACATACATGTGGCCAATGAGCATATGAAAAAAAACTCAATATAATTGATCATTAGAGAAATGCAAATCAAAACACCGATGAGATATCATCTCACACCAGTCAGAATGGCTATCACTAAAAAGTCAAAAAAAAAATAACAGATGCTGGCAAGGTTATGTAGAAAAGGAAATGCTTATACACTCTTGGTGGGAGTGTAAATTAGTTCAACCATATTGTAAAGCAGTGTAGCAATTCCTCAAAGACCTAAAAACAGAACTACCATTCAACCCAGCAATTCCATTACTGAGTATAAACGCAAAGGAATATAAATTATTCTACCATAAAGACATTTGCATGCGTATGTTCACTGCAGCACTATTCACAATATCAAAGACACAAAATCAACCTAAATGCCCATTAACGACAGATTGGATACAGCCATAAAAAAAGAATGAGATCATGTCCTTTGCAGGAACATGGATGGGGTTGGAGGCCATTATCCTTAGCAAGCTAACACAGCAATAGGAAAGCAAATACCACATGTTCTCACTTATAAGTGGGAGCCAAATGATGAGGATGGATGGACACAAAGAGGGGAACAATAGACACTGGGGCCTACTTGAGAGTGGAGGGTGGAAGGGGGAAAAGATAAGAAAAAATATCTATTGGATACTAGGCCTAGTACTTGGGTGACGAAGTAATCTGTACAACAAACCCCCATACACAAGTTTACCTATATAACAAACCTGTACATGTACCCCAAACCTAAAATAAAAGCGTAATTTTAAAAAATGAGGTACTAGAAGCACAACTGGACTGGTTTCTACAACAAGCTAATTAAGACAAAGGGAAAAAAGGAAGAGAGGCCTTCATAGATAAAAGAGAAGCAAGAAATTTAATAACTAAATATGACATATGGACCTTGCATGAAACTCAATTAAAACAAATTGACAGCGGCTTTGCAGCACTGTTCACAATGCAAAGACTTGGAACCAACCCAAATGCCCATCAATGATAAACTGGATAAAGAAAATGTGGCACATATACACCATGGAATACTATGCAGCCATAAAAAAGGTTGAGTTCATGTCCTTTGCAGGGACATGGATGAAGCTGGAAACCATCAATCTCAGCAAACTAACACAGGAACAGAAAACCAAACACCTCATGTTCTCACTCATAAGTGGGAGATGAATAATGAGAATACATGGACACGGGGAGGGGAACATCACACACCAGGGCCTGTTGAGGGTGGGGAAACTAGAGGAGGGATAGCATTAGGAGAAATACCTAACGTAGATAATGGGTTGATGGGTGCAGCAAACCACCATGGCATGTGTATACTTATGTAACAAACCTGCACGTTCTGCACATGTATCACAGAACTTAAAATATTTTTTTAAATGACAGTAAAAAATTTTTTTAAAGAATTGAGAAAATTTAATTATGGACTGGGAATTAGAGAATACCAAGGAACTGTTGCTAATTTTGGAATGATAATATTGTGATTATGTTTTTAAAAAGTCACATCACAGTGAAGTAAGTAAAGATAAAATAGCACATAGACTAGGAGACTATGATTTGCCTTAAAATACTTCAGTAAAGAAAAGAAATGATAAAATAATAAAATCTTGATAATTTTAAAATCTGTGTAAATGAGTATTTATTTTATCATTTTCTCCTAAAAAAATTAAAAACAAAGGACTGAAATGCTGCCTATAAGCTTCTGTGTGTGTGCAGAAATTGTTAAATGACAAGATTTATTCTGGGATGATCAGGTGAGCAAATAGTTATTTTGATAAAATCTCTGGATATTTCCTCTTTACCAGACATTCTCCCAATCTCTTGACAAAGTTCTGGGAATTAAGGGAAAGCACTTGTGCCATTTCAGGGGATATGATGCCATTATTCCAAAAGTCAACTTTTACTTAATTTCTTTATTTTCATTTCACCACCTCCCTTTTACCACTCTCTATCCTTAGCTACAGCTAGTACCACTGAGATCAGAGATACAACATCCAGAATTCTTTCAGGGAAAGTTAATTATATGTTTTGAGCAGGTCAGGTGGGAAAGAACATCTAGAAGCCTAAATACACCTTTAAAAAATTAAAAATCAGTAGCATTTCTATACAGTAATAATATTCTAGTGGAGAGCCAAATTAGCAACACAATCCCATTTACAATAGCCACAGAAAAAGGAAATACCTAGGAATACATCTAATCAAGGAGGTGAAAGATCTCTGCAAGAACTACAACACACTGCTGAAAGAAATCAGACATGACACAAATAAATGAAAAAATATTCCATGCTCATGGATTGAAAAAATCAATATCGTTAAAATAGCCATACTGCAAAAAGAAACTTATAGATTCAGTGCTATCCCTATCAAACTATCAATGTCATTTTTCACAGAAATAGAAAAAAGCTATTCTATTTTATTTTCCAAGACGGCAAACTAGAAGCAGTGTTAGAATGCCTCTTCCACTTGCAAAGTCAAAATAGTGAGTAGAGATTCACACTGTTAACTTTTTTCCAAGAAGCAATGCAGGACCTTAATAGGAAAATGGAAGGAAATCACAGGCCCTTTGAAAGAAGCAGCAGGCTGCAGCCTACACTATGAGCCAGGTAAAAAACTATAAGTCCTCAGAGTGTGAGGTAGGGGAGTCTGCCTCCAGGATATAAACTCATACCAGGGAACCTGTGTAGCCTTAACCCTACACAGCACTGGAACTGATATAGTGAGTGGTGGGACATATAAAAGTAAGAGCAGCACAATGAAGAGCCTTGCGCACATTCCCAGTCTCTAGTATGGACCAAGGGAAGCCACGCCTGATTCTATATAAAAAGGGAACCTCATGAAAGTCTGCCAATTAATTCAAACAGTGGTGGCAGGTTGAAAGAAGCTACCAACTGAAATTCACAATACAATCCTCGAGTGGGGATGAACTCCCTTGGCCAGAACCCAGGCGTGAGTGGGAAGTGTGCAGTAGCCACAGGCACAGGAACTGGGTGCCTGGACTTTGACAGCAGATAGGCAGGGCCTGGGACAGTTTTGAGTTCTGAGCATAGGCTGTCTGGAATTTAACTAGCTACTGTAAGTGAATACTGCAAGTGAGAAACCTGCCTTGCCCAGTGCATAGGAGCTGGGTGAGACATACTGCCACCTGCTACCCCCCACTCCTTATGCGAACTCTACTGTGCAGCAGAGGCAGCTACACTCCTTCCTGGAATATTATCCCAGTGGCTAGAAAACCACTGGAGACTCAGAAGGAGGAGGCTGGGAGAGGGGCACAGGATAAAACACTACATATTGGGTACAATGTACACTACTCAGGTGATAGGTACACTAAAATCTCAAAATTCATTATTATACAATTTATTTATGTAACCCAAAGCCACTTGTATCTCAAAAGCTATTGAAATAAAAAAATTTTTTTGAAAGAAATTACAATGATTATACTCTAGGCTCCAGAGAAAATAGAGTATAAATTGGTACATTTCAGGAAAGCAATTTAACAAAATATATCAATGTATCAAAAAATGAAAAAGAAAAAAAATCCTAAAATTTACATGGAATAAAAAAAGAGCCCTAATAGCCCAAGCAATACTAGCAAAAAGAACAAAGCCAAAGGCATCACATTATCTGACTTCAAACTATACCATAAGGCTACAGTAACTAAAACAGCATAGTACTGGTATGAAAACAGACACATAGACCAATGGAACAGAATAGAGAACCCAGAAAAAAAGCCTCACACCTACAATCATCTGATCTTTGACAAAGTCGACAAAAAAAAGCAATTGGGAAAGAACCCCCTACTTAACAAATAGTGCTGAGATAACTGGCTAGCCATATACAGAAGAAAGAAACTGGACCCCTACCTCTCACCATATACAAAAATTAACTCAAGATGGATTAAAGATTTAAATGTAAGACCTCAAACTATAAAAATCCTAGAAAAAAAACCTAGGAAATAGCCTTCTCAACATCAGTTTTTCCAAAGAATTTACAGCTAACTCTTCAAAGCAACTGAAAGAAAAACAAAAATTGATAAAGGGACCTAACTAAACTAAAGAGCTTCTGCACAGCAAAAGAAACTATCAACAGAGTAAACAGACAGCATAGAGAATGGGAGAAAACATTCACAAACTATGCATCCAACAAGTCTAATATCCAGAATCTATAAGGAATTTAAACAATTCAACAAGAAAAATACAAATAACCGCATTAGAAAGTGGACAAAGGACATAAAAAATATTTCTCAAAGAAAATTTTTTGAGAAAAAATATTTCTCAAAGAAAATTTTTTGAGAAAAAATATTTCTCAAAGAAAATTTTTTGAGAAAAAATATTTCTCAAAGAAAATTTTTTGAGAAAAAAATATTTCTCAAAGAAAATTTTTTGAGAAAAAATATTTCTCAAAAGAAGACATACAAAAGAAGACATACAAGCAGCCAACAAACATATGAAAAAATGTTTAACATCTCTAGTCGTTAGAGGAATGTAAATCAAAACCACAATAAGATACCATCTCACAGCAGTCAGAATGGCTATTATTAAAAAGTCAAAAAATAACATGCTGGCCGGGCTGCAGAGGAAAGGGAATGCTTATACATTGTTGGTGGGAATGTAAATTAGTTCAGCCACTGTGGAAAGCAGTTTGGAGATTTCTCAAAGAACTTAAAACAGAACTAGAATTCAACCCAGCAACCACATTAGTGGGTATATACCCAAAGGAAAATAAATTGTTTTACTAAAAAGACATGTTCATCACAGCACTAATTCACAATAGCAAAGACACGGAATCAACCTAGGTGTTCATCAGTGATGGACCGGATAAAGAAATGTGGTACACATACACTATGGAATATATGGAATACTATGTAGCCATAAGAAAGAATGAAGTCATGTCCTTTGCAGCAACATGGATGCAGCTGGAGTCCATTATCATTTTCCCTCCCAACTTTTATTTTAGATGCAAGGCATATATGTGCAGGTTTGTCACCTAGACATATGGGTGATGCTGAGGTTTTGGGTACAAATGATCCCGTTACTCAGGTGCTGACCACAGTACCCAACAGTTAGTTTTTCAGCCCAACCCCTAGTAATCCCTCCATGATTCAATTATCTCCCACAGTGTCTATTGTTATGGAAACCATTATCCTAAGCAAATTAATACAGGAACTGAAAATCAAATACCACATGTTCTCACTTACAAGTGAGAGCTAAAGACTAAATATGCATGGGACAATAGCCACTGGAGACTGCTAGAGAAAGGAGGGAAGGAGAGCAGTATGGGCTGACAAACTATTAGTTACTATGCTCACTACCTGGGTGACAGAATTATTCATACCTCAAAGCCTAGCATCGCGCAATACACCCATGTAACAAGCCTGCACACGTACCCCCTGAATCTAAAATAGTAATAACAATAAAACCTCTGCCTAATTGGGAAAAGAATAGATTTTTAAGGAATCCTCTTTTTTCATCCCCACTTAATACCTTGGCAAGGACTTCTCTTATTTCTCTTAGCATACTAAGAGAAAGGAGTTAACCAAACATTGTTTTTAGGATTCACATCTTTAAAAACTTGACAAAGGAAGGTAGAAAATAAAGAGCTATAAAAGTATAGTCCAGAAAAATGCTTTTTAAAATGATAACATATATATGTTAGTGTTAAAAATTAGCAAAAGCATTAAGTGGAACAAAGAAATTTTCATCTTTATAAAAAGCCCAATGCACCAAGAAAAATAACATAGCACCAAAATATATTTTTAAAAATCTGTTAAAAAATCCAATGAAAACAAATTACTAATCATAATGGGATGTATTAATACTTTTCTCACAGAAATGGAAAGGATCACAATAACATAAAAATAGGTAAAGATATTGAAGATTTCTTTTTTTTTTTTTTTTTGAGACAGACTCTCACTCTGTCGCCTCTCCCAGGCTGGAGTGCAGTGGCGTGATCTCGGCTCACTGTAACCTCTGCCTCCCGGGTTCAAACGATTCTCCTGCCTCAGCCTCCTGAGTAGCTGGGACTACAGGCGCATGCCACCACACCCAGCTAAATTTTTGTATTTTTAGTAGAGATGGGGTTTCACCGTGTTAGCCAGGATGATCTCCATCTCCTGACCTCGTGATCAGCCCTCCTTGGCCTCCCAAAGTACTGGGATTGCAGGCATGACCCACCAGCAATGAAAATTTAAACATACATCTAATAATCCTTGGGCCAAATAGAAAATAAAAATGGAAATTACAAGCTATTTAGAAATAAAGGATAATGGAAGCACTACATATAAAAGTACTGTATTAGTCCATTTTCACTCTGCTGATAAAGACATACTCAAGACTGGGTAATTTACAAAAGAAAGAGGTTTAATTGACTCACAGATCCACATGGCTGTGGAGGCCTCACAATCATAGTGGAAGATGAAGGCAGAGCAAAGGGATATCTTACATGGTGGCCGGCAACGAGAGAATGAGAACCATGTGAAAGGGGTTTTCCCCTTATAAAACCATCAGCTCTCATGAGACTTATTCACTACCACAAGAACAGTATGGGGGAAACTGCCCCCATGATTCATGATTCAATTATCTCCCACTGTGTCCCTTCCACAACATGTGGGAATTATGGGAGCTACAATTCAAGATGAGATTTGGGAGGGGACACACAGCCAAACCATATCAAGTACCAAGATGTAAATGCATGGCCTTAAATTCATTTATTAAAGAACAAATAATGAATATTCTTAGTGTTATGACCCAAGAGAAGGGTACAAATGACAAAAAAAATGAAAGCTCAGAAGCAAAGTAACAATGAACATACCCAATCCCCAGATGCTGGTTTCTAAATATCATTCTCCAATTAAAGAAATCAGGGCATTTTAGAAAACTGGTTGATTCCAGTGCTGAGGCAAGAAAACTTCAAGATAAGCCTAGAACATTTTGTGATGCCAGAAAGTAAAGAAGAGCTCAACAGAGGACAGAGGCAGGTTAAAAGGGCACATGTTGACCTAAGCGAGCTACTAATGTCCAAAACAAGAAGAATCAAGCAATAAAATAATGATAGTATTGGATTATAACCCAAAAAATTAAAGTGAATGAGTCCACACTGATATAAATAACTGAATGAACAATTGAGTAATAAAAGACAGCTCTTTTATTACACAGAAAATTTCCAATTAATACATGTAGAAGGAACGAGTGAATGAGAAAATCACCATTAAAACTGTACAATAATAGCCACTGCAGGCAAACTCTACTGATAGTACTGAAAAAACAGGTAAAAGGTTGAGAAGAAACTGAATATTCGGAGAGTCTCAAAATATCTACCACAAGATATTTATTAATTACGAAGGGAAAAATAATAACTATACAGTGAAGGAACCTAGCAAATACCAGTTTAGCCACGTGATTAAGGTTAACTTCACCAGTAATAAGATACTGACATCATGACACACACCCTGATATGATGCACTGAGAAGGGCACATCATTTTTGTGGTATTCTTGCCAAAAATGAATAATCTCATCACAATAATTAGTAAACATCAGACAAACCCAAATTGAGGGATATTCTACAAAATAAATGACCAGTATTTAAAAGCCTCGAGACCATGAAAGACAAAGAAAGACTGAGGAACTGTCACAGGTCAAAGAAGTCTAATAAGAAGATATGAACTCTAACTGCAATGTGGAATTCCAGGTTGAATACTGGACTGGAAAAAAAAAGATATTATTGAAAAAATATGATAAAACCAAAATAAATTCTGTAGATTAGTTAACAGTATTATAACAATGTTAATTCCTTAGTTTTTATAATTGTACCCTAGTTATGCAAAGTGCTAACATTGTGGGAAGTTGTGTATCTGAAAACTATCTGTACTATTTTTGGAACTTTATATAAATCTAAACTTATTTTTTGAAAAGAATGACTTGGGCACGTACAATGAGTAATCTATAAGTGTCAAATATATCTCTGGTACAAATTGTGGTATAAAAGAATGGGTACGTTTTAAATTTTGGAAGTTATGAAATATTATTTTAATAGCAAAAAAGGAAACAGTCTTCATGGTCAGTATATGCCAATAATGGTCAGTATTAGAGGAACAGTTAAATAACCTATGGTCCTATGGAATAGTATACAAAAAATAAAAATATAATAAAGTAGACTTGTATGTCCTAGCATGGAAAGAATGCCAAGATTTATCAATGGGGAAAAATGCAAGCTGTAATTCACAGATGAACAAATATGACATGAAACCATATATATTCACGATAGTTCTATATGTACATATATGTCTTTAAAACTTTAGAAAAAGAATAGAAATGATCTTCATCAATGTTAAAGCAGGGTGATCTCTACAGAGAGAATCAGGATTGAGAAGACTGGTCATGGGAACTTTAGTTTTCTTTCCTACATTATTTAGATTATTTACAATGAAGATGTATCTATGTGTTACTTAAAAATCTAAAAAAATTGTTTTAAAAAGCCCAGACAGTCTCATTACATGTCTGTAAAAATATCTCAGGTTTATAAATGGAAAAAATGTAGAAATAGTAGATATTTAAGTTTATATAGTACACTGCTAAATTATAAGATTAAACATATGTATTAAACATTCCTTAATAGAAGCCCATTCCAGCTATTAACATTCACTCAGAAAAGAATTCTCAGTCCATTTTTATAAAACGTTTTTCTTTTTATACTTTTAAAAAACATGCACATTGAAACACTTTCCAAGGTCACTTCTTTAGTATATATTTATCCAAATGAATGTTACATACAAATAGCTTCTCAAGCCATCTAACTAAACTCTCTGAGATGTGTGGTCACATTAGTTCACTCTGACTTGGCTATACTAGTCTACTTTTCTTCTTTCATATCAAAATGATATGGTTAAAAATGACATTACTGGAAAAGCACAAATGTTTACTTTTACCGTACACATCAACTTTATGAAATAATTCATGAAATACTACAATACAGTATGTACTGTGCTAGCACACAGTTTTCTCTAACAGTCACAATTCGGCACAGAATGTGAACACTATGTTGATGTAAGGACATAATGTTGTCTACTCAGAGGGTGTTCCTGAAAATAGTGGGTACTAACAGCATGTTCTAGTGGAGAGAGTCCTGCACTGGGAGTTAGATGACTTGCATTATAATCCTCTTGCCAATGCAACCATGAGAACAAGTACATTTATTATCCTTCAGTATTTCTCAGTTTTTCTTAGTTAACATAATTAAAATGGATAATGTGAGAATCACTGAGTTGTAAAACAAATTAGAGAATGATATTATAGTCCCTTCTTAATTATTTTCATGTGGATTATCGATTAATATTACACATAATGAAAATATTCTAAAAGGAAATACTTTTAAAACTCCCTTTTAACTTCCCTCCACTCTATAATGAAACACTTTAGAAAACACAAGAAAGCGGCCACATCATCGAGGATTTTACCACCTGTAATCTGCACTCTTTTTTGTCAAGCTCCTGGTTCTAAAGATTAATTTATTTGCAGTCTTTCCCTCAAACTGATTTTGCAGCAATCAAAGATGACAGGTGGAAGTTCCGGGTCTGAAAATTCACTGAAGTGGGGGATTTTCAGGATTACATCCTACTAAGGTCGGACAGGCAAAGGTATCCAAATATCAAGGGGAAAATTAGAACTGCAACAAAGAAATCAATCAAAACAAGGTAGTACTTCAGGAGGTCTTGGGAAACAGAGTTCAGAAATTGACATACGACTGCCAATTATGAGAAGTGGCTTCTATACCTGCTCCTTTGAAATTAACCACTACCTAAATTCATTCAGAAAATTAAACTACCTTTTAAGGAAGCAGGGAATGGGGGGATCCAACTATTATTGATAGATAAATCATTTAGTATTTAATACAACCAGAAACAACTCTTATTTTGCAGAGAACTCATAAGCACTTTGTGAAACCCTTCAGGCAGAAACTAAATCACTGTACCCATTCTCAGGAGCTATGGAAACTTCAAAAATGTCAAAAAGAGAATGCACAAGACCAGAAATGTCACTAACACACAAGTGTATAGAACAGTAGCAATATTTAAAACCAAATTATTTGGGAATACAATTACTTAATTTCCTCTTCAGTGGTATTATACTGCTTTTATTTAGAAAATTAACATGACACCCATTTATATCTTCCTATGAATTCTAATTTAGTTACTCAAATATACCCTTACTGTTAGGATAGTCTTAATTTTATACTGAAGAGTCATTATCCTGTATAATATCAATGTACTTTTAGTACAATCTGTACATTGATAATAAATTTACTCCTTTATAGCTTGACTCCTTCTTAAGGGTGCTTGCCCTATTGAGTTAAGGATCAGAAATATTTACCTTTGCTAACAGGTAAGGGAGTTCAATATTCCAACATTATCTTCTAAAAATATTGGCTTGACTTTGATACCATACATTCATATTTATTCCCTCACCCCTCTATCTCTCTCTCCCCACCTCTCCCAAAAAGGCAGGAAAAAAGTACCCGCACTGGACTGACTCAATGTAGGTTTTTAAATTAACCTCATTTAATTAAATCGAATTTGAGCTCTATTTGGTCTTTGATTCTTCATTTATTTTCCTGTTTCTTTAATATTTAGATAGTCTATTAAAATAATAGATCTTCCTTTGACTGAATATGGTACTCTTAAGTTTTCCTGGTGCAGAAACAGAAGTTAAAAATCTTAACCCTGACTTAATAAAAAAAAATAAATACACACACACATACATAGGTTGGGCACAGTGGCTCATGCCTATAATCGTAGCACTTTGGGAGGACAAGGAAGAGGTGTGCTTAAGGCCAGGAGTTTGGGACCAGCCTGGGCAACATAGCGAGACCCTGTCTCTCCAAATATATATATATATATATATTTGCTATATGATAGATCCTGTCATATATATATCTAGCTGGGTGTAGTGTGGCGTGTCTGCAGTCCAGTTACTCCAGAGGTTGAGACAGCAGTATTGCTTGAGCCCGAGCGTTCAAGGCTGCAGTGAGCTATGATCATGCCATCGCACTCCAGCCTGGGAATAAATATGAGTGACACAGTGTGAGACCCTGTCTCTAAAAATAAAAAAATAAAAATATTTTAAAAAGTAAAAAAAAAAAAACATGATTCTGTATTATAGAGCTTATATATAATTTCACAAAAAGGAGGCAAAAGGGTTTAGTGTATTTTTCTTGAGGATAAGGGGATATAAGATAGCTTTTAGAAAAACTAAAATCTCCATTATATTAAAGTGTTCTTAATAAAATCATGTTGTTTATATAAAACATTGTCTTAAATACTGCTACCATCATTTTAAAGTATCCTTAATAAAATCACATTATTTATTCTTTAGTGCAAGAATGTTTCTTACTGCCCTTATTGCTCTCTCCCAGCTCTGGTAACAATGCCCAGTAGGCGTTGGTAAATATTCTTCTATTGATTAATTCTAAAGGATAGAAAAGCATATAAAATCCCTGGATAGTCTTTCTCATGCAGTGGGTAACCACTGTTTGGCCACCCAATATAATTACCTTTCTGTGGGGAATTAACCCTTTATTCAAGGAACTGTTTCTTTCCACTCCCTCTTCTAGCTTCAACCAATCATAAGACTGCCACAGAAGTTTCCATGTTCTATGACCCAACCCAGCTGGCTAAGTGGATAAAACATCTCCCCAACACTGAGTCAATCAGAGCTCTTCTGTAGGATTCTTTCCTTGGGACTAGAGAAAACAATAGGCAATCCCTTTCAGGTAGCAGTAGATGTAAGAAGTAAAACTTATGAACTGTGGACAACCACTTTTCCTGCTATGAGAAAGTTGATTTGCAGTTTAAGAGAATAAAGTTGACCCTCTAGAGAAGCAGAGATGAAATACAAAAGGAAAATCTTAAGGGTAGTAATGTCCTTTGTTAAGGTTATTCCTAAGGTCTAGCTACACAGGCCCTTCCCAGAGTTCATTTTTTCCTTGAAACCTATCATCCATTAAACACTTTTTGCCTAAGCTAGTTCAAGCTAAATTTTAGTCACAACCAAGAGTCGTAACTAATAGTGTATGGCCCAGGATCTATCATATAACAACCTTAAAATTAACTTATAAGAGGTTGGTTTGAAGACTGGATGCTTCTACCGATCCTTAAAAATGGGAAGTATACAGTTAAATAAGCAAATGAAAAAAATATGGAATTAAGGGAAATAATTATTCTAAGTAAAAAACAAAAAATCACTAAAAGTCAGAGAAATGGAAATTAAAACTATATTTTAATCTAACAAATTAACAAAGATATATCAAAAGTGAGTATAACCAATATTGTCAAATTACAATGGAAAGGCATTTTCTAACATCATTTGTGGGAATATTCATTTTTATAGACTATTTGAAGCATAAAAATGCTCAAATTCTTTAACCCAGGAATTCTACTCCTGGGAATCTAGCCTAAAGAAATAGATCTAAATATAGAAAACATTTTTGTTTGCTTTGGTTTTGAAGAAAGCTAATCACTGCAATAATTTGCAGTAGCAAAAAAACTCAGAGTAATACAAATGGTTCAGTAAGAAAATTATTTACTCAATGTAATATTTGTCATTAAAAATAATGTTTATAGTAGGTATAAAATAACAGAAAAATGCTTACATTATGGTGCTTTTTTTAAAATCAGGATATTAAACTGTATAATTAAATGTTCTTAAAACTATATATATTATAAAAATAAATCAAGCATTTCGCTATGAAAGCTTTTATAATATAAGCTAGATAGTATTCAGTAGGTTAACAGGAAACATGATTTGTATTCTGAGGAATGCTATTAGTGAAAGTTGATTTCTACCAGGAACTCACCTTAAGTGAAGGAAAAAAGTTGTTCTCCAAATATAGGAACACATAGCTACTCCATTTAAGGAGCTGGCCTTGCCTCCTTTCTTTACTGTTGGTGGTTATGAAATGTATAACAATTTCTAGAAATCAAATTTTAGTAGTCTTACATGATGTCCAGGATGTCTTCAGTGATCTTTAGATATATGTTTGTCCCTCAGCTAAATACCCTGAATAATAAAATGTCTATAAAAGATTTAAAATTTTATTAAAATTATTACAGAAAACATAACATATTTTGATTGTGAAACTCAGCTTTTAAATATTTTTCTCACTGAAATATACTTTAAAAAATAATTTCTGACATTCACTGGGCAATATAATGAACCCATTTTAAAAGAAGAGACTGATTCCTAAAAATTAATATAAGTTATTTTATGAAGTGATATTAAGGGTAATCTTCATCTATTTCTGTTTTCCAAGTATTCCATAATGTGCACAGTGAAAACAAGATTTTTTTTTAAAGAATAGGAAATAGGTCAGCAAATCAATAAAAAAATTCATGTTTGAAACTATGAAAAGAGTGAGTGCACTTGAAATAATACAAAACCCATTTATTAATGCACCCCAAAATATCACTAGATTACATTTGTTGTTTTAAACCCTGGTCTGTTTTTCTTTGAAAACATTCAAGAAAATTATATGTGAGCTTCCGGAAATAAGGCAGAGAACTATAAGAAAAGAATCATTGGCCTGGTGTGGTGACTCACACGTGTAATCCTAGCACTTTGGGAGGCCAAGGCGTTTGGATCACAAGGTCAGGAGTTCAAGACCAGGCTGGCCAACATAATGAAACCCTGTCTCTACTAAAAATACAAAAATTAGCTGGGTTTGGGGCCGGCGCCTGTAGTCCCAGCTATTTGGGAGGCTGAGGTAGGAGAATCACTTGAACCCAGGAGGCAGAGGTTGCAGTGAGCTGAGACCACGTCACTGCACTCCAGCCTGGGTGACAGAGTGAGACTCCGTCTCAAAACAAAACAAAACAAAACAAAATGGATCATTAATATTTGAGATTTTCCATTCTTCCATTTTTAGATGTGAAGCAACTGGTTCAGTACGAGGAAAAGAGAATATGCAACACCTCTGGATTATTATTTTCATCTTCTGATAAAATTGTAATTGCATTAGAGAGAAAAAGGAAAACTAAAAATCATTCACTCAAAAATATGAATTACAAGCCCACTACGTACATGATACCATAACTGGCATAATTAAGCACTTAGAAAAAAAGGAATGGCACCTGTTCTCAAGTGGCTCATGGTTAGGTATGAAGAGTGTAAAACAATAAGACAGTTATATTGTGATAAATATGGTAAAGGAGGCAAGAAAGAGAGGCAAGTACCCAGCTGCTTCTTTGCGTGTCCTGGAAAGTATGAAGAACTTTCCAATTAGAGAATATGCTTGCATCACAAGTACTGCTGAAAGCAGACAAGAAGAGAAGGAAGGAAAAAAAAAAGGAATGACGTTGTCTGCAGTAATGAAGGGAAGAAAAGAAAATTTGTTAGAAAGACTTTTATTTTCTTCTCAAAATATGTAATAATCAAGCTAGGCACAGTGGATCATACGTATAATCCCAGCTACTGGGGTTGGCGAGGCTGCAGTGGGACAATCACTTTAGGTCAGGAGTTTAAGACCAGGCTGGGCAACACAGCAAGATCCCATCTCTTTAAAAAATTTTAATAATTCAAAAAAATTAAAAATAACCAAAAAAAGGTGTGAATTATTATGGCTACTTCCAAAACAAAGATCATTCAAAGAGTTTCGTTAATAATGCCCAATTATACATTTATAAATGCCGAATCATTCAACAAGATATTGTATGCTCTTCACTTCACCATTAAAAAATAAAAACACAAAAAAACTGTATAGTATTTATTCAAAATTCAAATTACTGCCTGCCATACTCTGAGGAAAATTCTCTTCAACTGTAAGTGATCAAATCACGCAAAAATATAATAAGCCAAATACTCTAGCAAACAATTAGGAAACTTACTTCACTTTTGGCCAGTTTTTCTACTATCAGTGTTTCACTAAATATTTTCTAACTCAAGTCCTATATCTTTGCATTGGAAGTTTCATGCCTACTGGTAATACCATTAGGAAATGTAAAGTGATTTTTTTTTAGATCATCAAATAATAGCACTGTGATCTCAAGTTAATTTTAAGTGGATAGTTACGAGATTCACAAAAATCACCTTAGTTATAAGACTGGCTAAGAGCATACTACACTAGTTCCTTTGTAAAGGGTTCTGTGATAAAAAGAACTTAGAGCTGAGTTGGTATGAAGATTTGCCTAGGTTACAATACGTGCAGTCTAATATTTGCCTAATTCAGAAGTCACAAACTGGTCTTTGAACATGTTTTATCTGTCTTGCAGAGTGTTGTTTTTTATAAGCACAAATATTTAAACTTGGAGAGATTTTACGTAAGAATCTAGATTCCCCACCTTTCTAAAAGTCAAGTAATTCAAAAACAATGGACCCACATTCTTCCCACAAAACCAGTCTCCTGGAGCAGCTGCTATCTTTAATGAGCATGCATTTTTTTGGTTTAGTATAGTTCCCCCCACCAGTCTGTTTTACTCATTTATTCTAGATACCTCCTAGGCATTTGAGTTTACCATACTACCTAATTCAAAAATTTGCTAGCTGGATTTCAGATGTTTTGTAATCCTTTTAAACCCCATTTGAATGAGCCTTTAGCTATCCCAAATATTTTTCTCTGCAAATTACAAAGGGTAAGTGCCTGCCATTTACTTAAGGAATTCTTTAGAATAAATTCTATTTTTATTTGCACACCTAAATACACACATGCACATATACATATATACACATATGTACATATATATACATATATACGTACATATGTATATATACATGTATATATGTGTATATATGTGTATATATGCATGTATATGTGTATATATGCATGTATATATGTGTATATATGCATGTATATATGTGTATATATGCGTGTATATATGTGTATATATGCGTGTATATATGTGTATATATGCGTGTATATATGTGTATATATGCGTGTATATATGTGTATATATGTGTGTATATATACGTATATGTATATATACATGTATATGTATATATACATGTATATGTATATATGTGTATATATGTATATATGTGTATATATGTATGTATGTATATATACATGTATATATGTGTATATATGTATGTATGTATATATACATGTATATATGTGTATATATGTATATATGTATATATACATGTATATATGTGTATATATGTATATATGTATATATACATGTATATATGTGTATATATGTATATATGTATATATACATGTATATATGTGTATATATGTATATATGTATATATACATGTGTGTATGTATATATGTATATATACATGTATATATATACATGTGTGTATATATATATATGTATATATATGTATATAGACAGAGCTAGGAACACAGAATGGTGAAAACCACAGGTGAAAGTTTGAATTTGTACTGATAATTACCAACATATGAAAACCTGAAAGCAAGAAGAAACCATGACTGCTCCAAAATTATAGTGGTTCCTTAGTTGAGGAATAAATTAGCTGATGTCTACCCCACTGACAGCAACCTGTCTTTCACACAGCTGGCAAAAATAGCTCTTTTTTGTCTCCTTTCCCATTAAACAACAAAGCAACAGCAACAGGAGCAACAAGAGATTCAGCATCAACTATGCGAAAGGCTCTATGCAACATGTTTTATAGATGTTTTTTCATTTAAACCTTTTGAGGAATCCTAGCTCAAGCTTCTCAATTTCCTTTTGCTTCAGATAAAAGAACTTCATCCCATTTTTTTGTTTGTTTGTTTGTTTTGTTTTAGCAGTTTCTTTGCCATAGCAAATGCTTTACTAACATTTTAAACCCATATTTTAGTGTGGTCAAAGTGTGTTCTACAGTAAGCTCCCCATCGCATTCCAAAAATGGTTTCACAGTAAACTAAGACTGGAAATAATAGTTTTGGGTTTTTTTTTCCTGTAATGCTTCTAAGAGATTTTATTATGCACCTTAGTCCATCCGGGTGGCTGTAACAAAAATAGCATAGATTGGATGGTTTATAAACAACAGAAATTTCTCACAGTTCCAGAGACTGAGAAGTCCAAGATCAAGGTGCCGGCAGGTCCGGTGTCTGGTGAGGGCCTGCTTCCTGGTTCACAGATGGTCTTTTTCCCACTGTAACCTCACACGGCAAGGGCTCTCTCTGGGAATTCTTTAATAAATGCATTTGAGGACTAAGCTCTGATTTTTTTTTCTTTTTTTATCTTGCCCAAATTCCTATCTAAGGGTTCTGGGGAGTCATGCCCTACAAACCATAAATTCTCATCAGATGGGTTTTATTTAACCCTATATGTTGTGACTTATTTTCCAACCTGACTCTGGCATAACATTACTAGAGAAGGAAAAAATCAAAATATTTTACCCCAAAACATGTTTACTTGCCATAACTTGAAATGGCCCTGCAAAGCTGTCCTTTGTGGGGGAAAATTTGCATCTGTAAAGAATCCCTATTAACATAGCTAGATATTTTTTTTCCAAGTCTTCCTAATCCTAAAGAGATTATCTAAGAGTCTAGCACTTTTTAAAGATCTGAATAGTAAACATTTGTCACCTATTGTCTCTAAAGGCAGCCATTATAAGACTTCAAAGGAACCCTGGTCTCCACAATTTCTTTTTTTTTTTTTTTTGGAGACAGAGTCTTGCTTTGTCACCCAGGCTGGAGTGCAGTGGCACAATGTCAGCTCACTGTAACCTCTGCCTCCCGGATTCAAGCAATTCTCCTGCCTTAGCCTCCCGAGTAACTGGAATTACAGGCACCTGCCACCATGCCCAGCTAATTTTTGTAGTTTTAGTAAAGATGAGGTTTGGCCATGTTGGCCAGGCTGGTCTCAAACTCCTGACCTCAGGTGATCCACCTGCCTTGGCCTCCCAAAGTGCTGGGATTACAGGCGTGAGCCACCACACCAGGCCCCGGTTTCTACAATCTTTCATGTTAACCTGGACATTTCCTTTCTAACAATCCCAGGTCTATAGACAAACTCAACCAATTATCAACCAGGAAATGTTTAAATTTACCTATAGCCTGGAAGCCTCCCCCCGCCCCCACCACTTTGAGTTGTCCTGCCTTTCTGGACCAACCCAGTGTATTTCTTAAATGTATTTGATTGATGTCTCATGCCTCCCTAAAATGTATAAAACCAAGCTGCACCCCAACCACCTTGAGCACATGTTCTCAGGACCTCCTGAGGGCTGTGTCATGGGCCATGGGCACTCACATTTGACTCAGAATAAATCTCTTCAAAATCTTACAGAGTTTGACCCTTTCCATCAACACACTAATACCATTTATGAAGGTGGAGCCCTATGACATAATCTCCCCACAAAGGCCCCATCTCCGAATACCATCATCTTGGGGTAAGATTCCAACCCATGAATTTTTTCTTTCCAACTTTTAAGTTACATATACAGGTTTGTTATATGGGTTAATTGTGTGTCACAGGGTTTGGTGTGCAAACTATTTCATCAACCAGGTAATAAGCATAGTACCCAATAGGTAGTTTTTTGATCTTCTCCTTCCTCCTACCCTCTATCCTCAAGTAGGCCCCAGTGTCTATTGTTCCCTTCTTTGTGTCCATGTGTACTCAATGTTTAGCTCCCACTTATAAATGAGAACATGTGGTACTTAGCTTTCTGTTCCTACATTAATTTGCTTAGGATAATGGCCTCCAGCTCCATCCATGTTGCTGCAAAGGACATGATTGTGTTCTTTTTTATGGCTGTGTAGTATTCCATGGTGTATAATATACTACATTTTCTTTATGCATTCCACTGCTGATGGGCATTTAGCTTGATTCCACGTCTTTGCCGTTGTGAATGGTGCTGCAATGGACATATGCATGCATATGTATGTATAAATGGTAGAACGATTTATATTCCTTTGGGTATATATAACAGCATTGCTGGCTTGAATGGTAGTTCTAAGTTCTTTGAGAAATCTCCAAACTGCTGTCCACAGTGGCTGAACTAATTTACATTTCTACAGCAGTGTATAAGCATTCCCTTTCCTTTGCAACCTCATCAGCCTCTGTTATTTCTTGACTTAAGTAATCACCAATCTGACTGGTGTGAGATGGTATCTCATTGTGGTGTTGATTTGCATTTCTCTAATGAATAGTGATGTTGGACATTTTTTCATATGCTTTTTGGCCACATGTGTATCTGCTTTTGAGAAGATAGCCATCTGTTAATGTCGTTTGCCCATTTTATTTATTATTTTTTTCAACAACTTTTAAGTTCCATGGTACATGTGCAGGATGTGCAGGTTTGTTACATAGGTAAACATGTGCCATGGTGGTTTGCTACACAGATCAACCCATCACCTAGATATTATGCCCAGCATCCATTAGCTATTTTTACTGAGGCTCTCCCCTCACCATGCCCCCTGACAGGCCCCAGTGTGTGTTCTTTCCCCCCATGTGTTCTCATTGTTCAGCTCCCTCTTATAAGTGAGAACACGTGGTGCTTGGTTTTCTATTCCTGCATTAGTTTGCTGAGGATAATGACTTCAGCTCCATCTATGTCCCTGCAAAGGACATGCTCTTGTTCTTTTTTATGGTGGCATAGTATTCCACAGTGTACGTGCACCACATTTTCTTTATCCAATCTATCATTGATGAGCATTTGGGTTGATTCCATATCTTTGCTATTGTGACTAGTGCTGCAATGAACATATGCGTGCATGTGTCTTTATAATAGAATGATTTATATTCCTCTGGATATATATTCAGTAATGGGATTGCTGGGTCAATGGTATTTCTCCTTCTAGAACTTTGAGGAATCAGCGCACTGTCTTCCACAATGGTTGAACTAATTTACATTCCCACCCCAGTGTAAAAGCATTCCTTTTTCTCTGCAATTTTGCCAGCATCTGTTGTTTTTTGACTTTATAATAATTGCCATTCTGACTGGCATGAGATGGTATCTCACTGTGGTGTTTATTTGTTTTTTGTTTCTGTTTTTGTTTTTTTTTTGAGACAAGGTCTCCCTCTGTCGTCCAGGCTGGAGTGCAGTGGTGCAATCTCAGCTCATTGCAACCTCTGCTTCCTGGGCTCAAGTGATCCCTCTGCTTCAGCCTCCCAAGTATCTGGGACTATAGGCATGAGCCACCATGCCTAATTTTTGTATTGTTTGTAGAGATGGGGTTTCTGCCATGTTGCTCAGGCTGGTCTTGAACTCCTGAGCTCAGTTGATCCACCCACCTTGGCCTCCCAAAATGCTGGGATTAAAGGTGTGAGCCACTGCACCAGCCTCATTGTGGTTTTGATTTGCATTTCTCTAATGATCAGTGATGTTGAGCTTTTTCTCATGTGTTTGTTGGCTGCATGAATGTCTTCCTTTGAGAAACGTCTGTTCATGTCCTTTGCCTACTTTTTAATGGGGTTGTTTTTTCTTGTAAATTTGTTTAAGTTCCTTGTAGACTCTGGATATTAGACCTTTGTCAGATGAATAGATTGCAAAAATTCTCTCCCATTCTGTAGGTTGACTGTAGGTTCACTGTGATGATAGTTCACTGGTTTCTGTTTCTTTTGCTTTAATTAGATTCCATTTATCAAATTTTTATTTTGTTGCAATTGCTTTTGGTGTTTTCATCATGAAATCTTTGCCCATGCCTATGTCCTGAACGGTATTGCCTCAATTTTCTTCTAGGGTTTCTTTTGGGTTTTACATGTAAGTCTTTAATTCATTTTCAGTTAATTTTTGTATATGGTGAAAGCAAAGGGTCCAGTTTCAATCTTCCACTTATGTATAGCCAGTTATTCCAGCAGCATTTATTGAATAGGGAGTCCTTTCCCCATTGCTTGTTTTAGTAAACTTTGTCAAAGATCAGATGGTTGTAGGTTTGTGGCTTTATTTCTGGGTTCTCTTTCCTGTTCTATTGGTTTATGTATCTGTTTCTGTACCAGTACCATGCTGTTTTGATTACTGTAGCCTTGTAGTATAGTTTGCAGTTGGGTAGTGTGATGCCTTTGGCTTTACTCTTCTTGCTTAGAATTGGTTTTGACTATTTGGGCTCTTTTGTGGTTCCACATGAATTTTAGAATAGTTTTTTCTAATTCTATGAAAAATATCACTACATAAAAATCTAAGGACACAACCATTCAGACTACAGCACTATGCTAATATGCAGAATGAGTCACCAAGAATAGATGCAGAATATTTTCCAAACATAAATTTAATCACAGATAACTTTTTCAATAATATTTCTTAGGAATCCCTTGGAACACACCTTGAAGAGCAATGCTTTATTTTTTAGTATTAATTTTATAATTATTGTATGTGATCACTTTTATTTAAAGTGTTGTTCACTTCAATAGGGTATCAGAAAGTATCAGCAAAAGAAGGAAAGTCAAATGGATAACAGGTACCCCATCTAAAAAGAGACATTACTCTTTTCCTGGTGAGTCCCAAAGAGGCTTTATCTGTCCAGAGGAGCTATCCCTTTCAGAGGATACTCCTGACCAAGATGAAGTCTGCTCCATTAAAGACTTCCTTCTCCTACACACTGTTTCAGGTGATTGCTTTTGGCACTTGCCCATAAACTTTCTTCATCATCAAACTGCTTTCCAACTCCTGACCCTTCACTTCAGCCTCTAAGTTCACCCTTGGCCCACTGCTTTAGAATTGGGAGACTCTTCAGCAAGCCAATGTGTCCCATCCTGTTCCCAACTTGGAAGGGGTAGTTGGGCCATGTCCATTACCCCAAGGCCAATTTTCTGCCCCAGATCTAGATAGTTTCTTTGACTATGGGAGAAGATAGACAGTCCTACACCTGGAGATGCTATATTATGCTATTTTTGCATTGCTGAGGCTGAGTAATTTATAAAGAAAAGAGGTTTAATTGGTTCACAGTTCTACAGGCTGTAAGAGCATGGTTTCAGCATCTACTTCTGGTAAGGGCATCAAGAAACTTACAGTCAAGGCGAAAGCAAAGGGGGAGCAGGCATCTCATATGGCAAGAGCAGAGGCAAGGGGGAGGGATGCCACACACTTTTAAACAATTAGATCAGAAGAACTCACTTACTGTGGTGAGGACAGAATCAACTCAGTCATGAGGGATCTACCCCCATGACCTAAATATCTCCCACCAGGCCCCACCTCCAACACTGGGAATTACATTTCAACATGAGGTTTGCAGAGGACAAACATCTAAACTATATCAGATGCTATTCCTATAATCTGAGTGTAGCTGAATGCTATTATTTTTCTTGTAAAATATAAATAAGGCTAATATACACAGATACAACCAAATAATTAACAGTGTTCCGTCACATCACAACTCCTTACATCGTGAAATCTAAAAAGTCTGACTTATCTGACCTCCAGATATCTGCTAAGTAGCCCACATGATGAACTTCAAGAATCATGAATAAAAATCTCACCCAAGAAGTCCTCCCCAATGCCATTCCTCCACCAAAAACTTGAAGATAGAGACTGTTATTTCTTTTACATTTCTTCAAAATACACTCTCCAAAATACAGAACCTGAAGCCTCCCTTGACAGCCAAGGCATAATCAGAATTCCAGAGCCCCTCAAGAACAGAGATTTTCCTATATATCCTGACCTTACAAGGCTCCAGTATTCCACAAAGGGCTCTATTGAGAAACATGCCAGATAACGATCTTTTGAAAGTTTTTGGATGACTCCTTCATTGCAAACAGGAAGTTATCATGAGTAGGCCTGAGGCCTACAAACAAGCTGACCACCAAACTGTGCTAAATTTTAGCCATAATTCACTCCTCTCAGAGTCTCATCTTAGTCATGCACATATTCATTCATCAAAGAACTCCAGTTAATAAGAAGATTGATTGGTCAGTCAACCACCACCAAGGGTAAGTACTGTAACAACAGGTATGCACAAAATTTTATGCATGCACAAGAGGAGGACTCAGTCAAGGAAGTTGAATGGTAAAGAATGAGTTATGGTCAGTGTGAGGCAGAGGAGGGTATAATGAGCAGGAAATTTCAAAAGGGCATTAAGCCAAAGCACAGTAGCTTAAAAGAAGATGGCATATTCTGGTTAATTCTTAGTTGCTCACCTATAAAGACAAAAATCAAAGGCAAACTAGAGATAATATATGCCATGTTATGGAATTTGCATTTTTTCCTCAGTGTTATGGGTCCCTTGGAGGATTTAAAGCAAGAATTATGTTTTCATTTTAAGAAACTCAATCTACCAGAATTTACCCAAGAAAATTGCCCCGAGAATTTCGTCCAGGAATAGTTGTATCACTTGAGCCCATCCCATCTATCAATCTGTCCTCCCATTGAGTCCTCTCCTTCAGAATCTTGTCTCTTCAACTCACAGATGCTCTCATTGATATATAACATCAATTATCTACGCTTAGTCTGGTGGCGTCTATTCTATCTTACACCTATTGCCATATGATTCCCCCGCTTAGAGACCTCCTACCCACCTGCCTTTCTTCTTCTTATCCCCTCTCCCCGATTGTTGGGACCAATCCTGACTTCAGGCCTGAATTCAAAAACCCCTGTCCAACTCTGGATCAATTTATTCTTGTTGCTGATTTTTTTTTTTGGTAGCGGGGCGGGGGGCTACCTTTAATAGTAGGCTTATAACTTGGTTTCTTGTAATCTTGTCTTTTATTGGTAACACCAGATCTCTAATATTCTCTTTTCATGCCACGAGTACAGTCTTGCAATTCAATTTCTCTGTCCCTGGCTAAGTGATCAGACATTTGGATTCCTCAAAATGAACCCTGCCATCTGTTGGGACAATTTATTATTACCTCACCTTGAACTTTTCTTGTTAACTACTCATCCAGAAGCATCAAATCTCTTGGAGATTTGAGAGGTATGTTGTGGGGGGAATGGTGGTGGAAGTCTATACCTATATAGTACTTAAGGCTTCAGCTGTTTTCCTCAACACCTGTCCTAGCCAAAGGATGGTTATAACTCCAGGGCCCAGTCCCTTCAAGTAAGCTATGTACCTGTCACAAGAAACTGAACCACATTCAGTTGAGTTATGGGAAGTGACAACTATAATTAATTTGAACTGTTCTCTCAGATAATAACACTGCCCCTCAGATTAATCTTCACTGATACCTTCCATTGCATATCATAAAACAATAACCTTATATTTCTCCCTTACTAACTCTTTAAGTCCTTACTTCCCTCATCCAGATTAAAAAGATTAATAAGCCCTTCAATTCCTCCACTCCTAGAAACTAGACAGTATTGAACCTATTCTGAAGTACTAATAATTTATTACCTATGGAATGATATAACCCCAAAAGGCAAATGCACATGCTTTTTTCTTACCCTTATGCAACTTTGGGTTGTATTTTCCAGAATTAAATTCTTCTGAAATGTAACAGTATAAACAAACACAAAGATGCTTTTCTAGTTTCCCATAAATTCTTCAGTTCTCTTTGTTAAAAAGAAGCATGGCAGCTCTGCACAGTGCCTCACGCCTGTAATCCCAGCACTTTGGGAGGCCGAGGCAGGCAGATCACCTGAGGTCAGGAGTTTTGAGACCAGCCTGGCCAACATGGCAAAACCCCATCTCTACTAAAAATACAAAAAAAAAAAAAAAATTAGCCGGCCATGGTGGTGCACACCTGTAATCCCAGCTACTCGGGAGGCTGAGGCAGGAGAATCACTTGAACCCAGGAGGCAGAGGTTGCAGTGAGCCGAGATCATGCCACTGCACTCCAGCCTGGGCGACAGAGTGAGACTCCATCTCAAAAAAAAAAAAAAAAAGGATAACTTTTAGAAAAAAAACAACTGGCCACATCCAAGGTTGCTGCCTCTTTTCTCATCTGTGGCCTGTCAAAATAATGCTGCTTAAGCATTACTTTGGGGTAAGCTGATCACACTGATCTCAATTACCAACACAGAGAGGTCTCAGTTGTCTGGTAAATATAAAGTTACATTAAACTTACTGATTCCAAATACAATGACAGGGAATTTCTGATAGTTGGAACAAAAGGCTAGGCTGAAGTCTGCATGCATTTTTACATTGGAAATATTAATATAATTTCTGTTTACCAACTTCAGAAAAATATATAATGTGAATTATTCATATTTAGAAATAATTAAAAATTATAGCATTAGGTTTGGGGGTTTATTAAAGCAAATTCACAAAGTAGTAAATCACATAATAATTTGTTGTCTTGGTTTTATCAATTATACGTACTTAAATGAATTAATATTTTATCATTTAGATATTTACTGATTTAGATTGCTCTTAGGAAACCACTCTGAATTGTGAAGCTATACAATACATATTGAGTTGATTATAACTTCTCAGATTTCATTTCTCTTTATTTTGGCATTTAAATAAATGAGTTAGTTCAGACTGTTACTTTATATGCTATTTTATTGATATTAAAATGTTTTTCAAAATAACATTTTCCTAAAGTTAAGAAAACTTTTATACAAATAATAACAATAATAAAACAAAACAAAAATAAAACTCTATTGAGCATTGAGCATTTACCAAGTGCCAGGCATTGCACTTAATAATTTACATGAGCTATCATATTTAAACATCACAATTTTGCTATTAGGTAGATCCATCTCAACATCATTTGACAGATGAGGAAATGGAGAGGCAGAGATGCAAGCAAGCCAAACAAACAAGGCGACAAAACAAGCAAGTGCCCAAGCTGAGATTTGAACTCAGGCAGCCTGACACTTACTTGCTACTAATACGTTATGTAGTTGGACTATCCTTTGCTCTGATTTTTTACCTTTTGATTATTTCTTTGCATATCATTTTAAAAGATAGATTTTTACTTGTACACTGTACTTTGAATTCCGCCTTGATTTAAAAGATGCTTAAGAGGGATTCATAGGAATTGAGGAGTGGGGAATGACATTACCAAGAAAAAGAAGTTAGTAGCAGCTAAAAACCACAAATGTTATGGACATGAAGAAAAGTTAAGCAGGAGATTAACTTTACACATATTCCCAAATATATGTTTTTTTTAAGTCTCTTCTTACAAAACCCAGGGGTTCACAGAGGAAAAGAGTTAGGTGGTAATTCTTACAAACATTTGTTTTCATGGGCATAAAATGTTTTCAGAATCAACCCCAGTTAGTTTCTCTATTTCAGCATGGTAAAGAGTTGGCATGTTTCTCTTTTCCTTCTGAGAGAGAAATCCAAATGCTTGCCAGACCACTTAATATTCTAGCACCCACAGCAAATTATTTTCATCTCCTTCTAACTGCCTCCAAAATGATTTAAGATTTGGGCAAAAGAAAGGCATTAGAGAAAAAAAGAGGTACAGGGTGGTTGCTGCTGGGTTTTTTTTTTTTCAGCAACAACAAACAAAACATGCTTACAATTAGGCAAAACATAACTTTTTAGTATAATTCTTGCTATCAACCCTAGAAAGATTTTAGTTGCAGTCCTCCCTCCCATAATAGCATATAACATCAGGCAAATATTACAGAGTAAAATGAGGTACTAAATAACTCTCTTCTAACTCAGTGACAACTCTGAGCTTTACTTCAGTAACCAACTTTTTTCTTTAAAAGAGGATAGGAAATGGAGAAAATGATAATGTATTCTCCTAGATAAAAGCATATGAGTGAATACAATATCTAGCCAAAGAAAACAAGATTATTAATAAAGAAATCTATGATTTAGCATTTACTAGAAAATAAGCTTTCCTTTTTAGAAAATAAGAGCTACAAAACAGGTTATGCTTAAGTTAATTTTTCAAAGACATTAACAAAGTATGTTTTGTTTTTCAGCTCATATTCTAATTTGCTTTTCACTGAGTTTTAAAAAAGACACAAAGACAGGCTTGTGTTTGGAATGTGATTCTGGTGAGAAGAACCTGAGAACACTGGACAAAGTCTGACATAGAAGGATGATGATGACAAGTATTCAAAGAAAATGCTGCTTTTAACAGAAAACTTGAAAAATAAAGACAGGCTAAACGCAAAAGGTTAGAGAAAGAGAAGACAAACAAACACAAGCAAAATAAAAGGAGCTAGAGAACATGGCATGCTTAATTAGCTCTCTCTTTCTTCATATAAGCAGCTCCCAAATCTAACCAGGCCCTTTCAGTCTTTTTATGTGTTTCTCCCACTGTGCCTCTCCAAAATCTTCTGGCTTAGTATCATAATAAATCCATTGACTTCATTTCAAAAAAATATTTATTTTGCAAAAACAAAGTTATTAAGAAAAGCTAAGGAAAACAAATCACAGACCTATGTATGGCTCAGTGACAGAATGTTGTAGATCTGGCATTCGTTCTTTCAGCTGGCAATGTTCTACTTCCAGTCTAAGCATGAGTCTGAAGTATATTTTGCTGTTAAGATTGAACATAAACATTACGATTTATATCAAC
Source organism: Homo sapiens (assembly GCF_000001405.40). Taxonomy (NCBI): domain Eukaryota; kingdom Metazoa; phylum Chordata; class Mammalia; order Primates; family Hominidae; genus Homo; species Homo sapiens. The sequence continues at coordinate 156,888,257 of NC_000003.12, read as the reverse complement.
TGTGCATTTCCTTTTAAATAAAAGTGTTGACCAACTGCTTTACTTTACTTTTTTGTCTGTTCCCTAACCCAATCCTCTCCCCACTCCTACTCTGCTACCTTCTTTGAGCCCTCCTACGCAATCACATTCAACTGGATAGTGTCATTAAAGATACTAAAAAGCTACATGAACTAAGGCTACATATTAGACAACATTACATATTGAAAGGGTGATATTCTTTCCATTCTCTGATATATATCACTAGATTACCTCTATAATGATTTTATCTACATATTAATGATAAAATATAGATGGTCAACTATCTTGAGTTTGTCAAAATAGTAACAATGATATAAAACACATATAATTATTCAAATGATATATAGAGAGGTGAATATTCAAATATATTTCTCAAGATATACCATCTGGAAAAAAGAATGAATGAGTGAGCTAACCTAAATTTTTATAAAATGTTAATCAAATGGTTGGGGGAGGTGCAGAAAGATTACCCCAATCCCAGAACTGTAACACAAAAACTATGCTCAGTTTTAAATTTTTTGAGCGCTAATAAAAATGATTCTAAATTAGATTAACTATATGATTAAAATTCATATTACTATATGAATTCTTGTTTGATTGCTCTCTCTCCTGAGCAATTACCAGGGAACTTGCACCAATATGTACATCAGAATGTATAAATTAATCATTAAAATATTTTTCAAAAGAGTGTTCAGAATTCAAAGCATCATTCTGTTGGCCACACAAAACATCTACATAACAGTTCATAATATTTATGAACACGTTTCTAAATATGAAGTAACATATCCTGAAAAAACAATTCTACTTTTTACTAATGTAAAATTTGTAGCTCTTGTGCGCCCCACACTCTGCCTACCAGGCTCCAAGCCTAGGCTTTACAGCCACACTCACTGCCTCACTCCACACCTGCACTGTGCACCTCAAGGGCCCACCAAGAAGGCAGAGAGGTGACAAGAAAATCTCCAAAAGCAAATTCAAAAAATTGGGAGGAGCAACTGTTACACCAGAAACTCAGATATCAACATAAAAATACGGACAATCAAAAAACACAAAAAAGCAAGAAAACGTGACACCCGCAAAAGAAAATAATTCTCCAGGAACAGATCCCAATCAAAAAGAAAATTACAAAATCCCTAAAGGAATTCAAAATATTGATATTAAGGAAGCTCCATGTACTATAAGAGAATATTGAAAAACAGACATATAACATAAAATGGCAGGTAGGAGACACAGCTAATGTGTAGCTCCCACATGGATGGACAAAACAGCATGTGGAGACTCACACCATGATCTTTTGCTCCAAGAACTACTGCAAGAACATACCAGGAAGACACATATAATGATTCTAAATTAGATTAACTATATGATTAAAATTCACGTTACTATATGAATTCTTGTTTGATTGCACAGATCCTTTGAAGGAAGCAGCACGCTGCGACAAACTGCAAAACAGGTGAAAAACTGAGTTGCCAAAGTGTGAAGGGGAGAAAACCTACTTCCAAATACACATCCCCACTGGGGAATCTGAAAATCCAGGTCATGGGAGGTTTTAACCTCACCTAGAGATGAAATGGATTTAGGGAGTCCCACAAAAAAGTAGAAGTAGCAGTGGGAAGTGTCTTGCATGTACTCCCAGTCTCCTGCTTGAGCCCAGTGAAGCCATCCCTGACTGTATCTGACAGGGACCCTTGGGGAAGGCAGCCAGCAGAATTGGAGTGGGAAGCTCCCAGCTGAAATTGGTAGTGGTTCTGACTGGGTACAAATTTCCTTTAGCAGAGTCCAGGGGACAAGGGGGAGCTGCTATGGACACAAGCAAGTGCAGGAGAGCCCAGGAGGCGCCACTGATGGAGTGGGCATATGGGGAGGGGCAAGGTTTGAAAGCCATGCTTGGTTTTTCAGCAGAGTAGCTCACGGCCTGGGGTAAAGTCTGAGTGGGGCATAGCAGGAGTGAGAACAGCCTCTCCAACTGTGTGGGAGCTGGGTGAGGTCTCTCACTACTGGCTATCCCCCACTTCCCTGGCAAACTATATTATGCATCAGAGGCAGCCAAGATCCCCTCTGAAACATAGTATCATTGGCCTGAGAACCCCCCTCCCCCACAGTGGTTGCAGCAAGCCTCACCCATGAAGAGTCTGAACCCAGACCTGCCTAAAACTGCCCCAACCTGATGATATTTTCCTACAGCCCTGGTATCTGAACACAAAACACAGAAACTCTTGGGAGCTATGTGGCTCCACCCATAACCCGAGAAACCAAAATACTTAACTTAGCCATCTTAGGGCAAGCTTACAGCCCCCTACTACTACCACAGCTGGTGCTCTCTTGATAGCACCACTGCCTGGCTGTAGGCCAACCAACTTAAGCCATTACAGAAACTCACAACAGAATAACCCTGATCCCAGGAAAGGGAAGGCAATCTAATTCCACTGCCTGCAACATCCTGACCATCCAGAGGTCCTGAGTGTATCCATGTGACAGCTTCACTGCTAGCATAACCAGCATTTAAGAAAGCCAGCACACTAAACACATCTAGAATCACGAACTCTCATAGGGTCTACTTTACTTCTCCGCCATCTCTACCAGAGGAGGTGCTAGTATCCATGGCTGGGAGTCCTGAAGATGGATCACATCACAGGACAGCACCAGCCCCACTTGTGGTAGTCCAGCTGGGTGGCTAGGCATAGAAGAGCAATAACAATCACTGCAGTCCAGCTCTCAGGAAGCCCCATCCCTAGGGGAAGTGGGAGAGTACCACATCAAGGGATCATCCCATGGGACAGGAGGATCTGAACAGCAAGCCTTGAGTTTCAGACTTCTCCACTGAAACAGTCTACCCAAATAAGAAGGAAATAAAAAAGTTATTCTGGTAATATGACAAAACAGGATTTGATAACATCCCCAAAAGATCACACCAGCTCCCCAGCAATGGATCCAAACCAGGAAGAAATCTCTGAATTGCCAAATAAAAAATTCAGAAGGATGATTATTAAGACACTCAAGGAGATACTAGAGAAAGGTAAAAAACCAACACAAAGAAATTTTTTAAAAAATACAGGATATGGATGAAAAATTCTCCAGAGAAATAGGTATCATAAAGAAAAAGCAATCACAACTTCTGGAAATGAAAGATACCTTAGGGAAATACAAAATGCCCTGTAAAGTTTCAACAATAGACTAGAACAAGTAGAAGAAAGAACTTCAGAGCTCAAAGACAAGGCTTTTGAATTAACCCAATCTGACAAAGACAAAGAGAAAACAATTTTAGAAAATGAACAAAGTCTCCAAGAAATTTGGGATTATGTTAAATGGCCAAACCTAAGAATAATTGGTGCTCTTGAGGAAGAAAAGAAATCAAAAACTTTGGAAAACTTCTTTGAGGAAATAATTGAGGAAAACTTCCACAGCCTTGCTAGAGATCTAGACATCCAAATATAAGAAGCACAAATAACACCTGGGAAATTCATCCCAAAAAGATCATCGCCTAGGCACATATTCATCAGGCTATCTAAAGTCAAGATGAAGGAAATAATCTTAAAAGCTATGAGACAAAAGCATCAGATAACCTATAAAGAAAAACCTATCAGATTAACAGCAGACTTCTAAGCAGAAACCTTACAAGCCAGAAGGGATTGGGGTCCCATCTTTAGCTTCCTGAAGCCAAATAATTGTCAGCCAAGAACTTTGTGTCAGGAAAACAAGGCTTCATAAGTGAAGGACAGAGAAAGTCTTTTTCAGTCAAACAAATCCTGAGAGAATTTACCACTATTAAGCCATTACTACAAGAAATGCTAAAAGGAATTCAAAATTTTGAAACAAAACCGTGAAATATACCAAAATCAAACTTCCTTAAAAGATAAATCTTACAGGGCCTATAAAGCAATAACACAACAGAAGGAAAAAAAAACAGGTATTAACGCAACAACTAACATGATGAATAGAACAGTGCTTCACATCTCAATACTAATGTTGAATGTAAATGGACTAAATGCACCACCTAAAATATACAGAACAGCAGAATGGATGAAAATCCACCAACCAAGTATCTGCTGTCTTCAAGAGACTCACATAAAACATGAGCACTGACATAAATTTAAGGCAAAGGGGTGGCAAAAGATACTCCATGCACATGGAAACTAAAAGTGAGCAGGAATAGCTATTCTTATATCAGACAAAACTGATGTTAAAGCAACAACAGTTAAAAAAGACAGAGACATTATGTAATGGTAAAAAATAGTCCAGTAAGAAAATATCACAATCCTAAATATATATGTACCTAACACTGGAACTCCCAAATTTATAAAACAATTACTATTAGACCTAAGAAATGAGATGGATGGCAACATTAATAGTTGAGGACTTCAGTACTCCACTAAAAGCATTGGAAAGGTGGTATTAGTCTGTTTTCATGCTGCTGAAAAAGACATAGCTGAGACTGGGTAATTTATTTAAAAAAGAGATTTAAGGATTTACAGTTCCACATGGCTGGGGAGGCCTCACAATCATGGTGGAAGGTGAAAGGCATGTCTTACATGGCAGCAGACAAGAGAGAATGAGAGCCAAGCAAAATCGGTTTCCCCTTATAAAACTATCAGATCTTGTGAGACTTATTCACTACCATGAGAACAGTATGGGGGAAACTACCCCCATGATTCAATTATCTCCCACCAAGTCCCTCCCACAAGTGGGAATTATGGGAGCTACAATTCAAGATAAGATTTGGGTGAGGACACAGACAAACCATATCATTCTACTCCTGACCCCTCCAAATCTCATGTCCTCACACTTCAAAACCAATCACGCCTTCTCAACAGTCCCCCAAAGTCTTAACTCATTTCAGCATTAACTCAAAAGTCCACATTCCAAAGTCTCATCTGAGACAGGGTAAGTCCCTTCTGCCTATGAACCTGTAAAATCAAAAGCAAGTTAGTTACTTCCTAGATACAATGGGGGTGCAGGCATTTGGGTAAATACACCCATTCCAAATGGGGAAAATGGGCCAAAACAAAGGGGGCTACAGGCCCCATGCAAGTCTGAAATCAAGTGGGGCAGTCAAATCTTTTTTTTTCTTTCTTTCGTTCTTTATTATTATTATACTTTAAGTTTTAGGGTACATGTGCACAATGTGCAGGTTAGTTACATATGTATACATGTGCCATGCTGGTGTGCTGCACCCACTAACACGTCATCTGGCATTAGGTATATATCCCAATGCTATCTCTCCCCCCTCCCCCCAACCCACAACAGTCCCCAGAGTGTGATGTTCCCCTTCCTGTGTCCATGTGTTCTCATTGTTCAATTCCCACCTATGAGTGAGAATATGTGGTGTTTGGTTTTTTGTTCTTGCGATAGTTTACTGAGAATGATGATTTCCAATTTCATCCATGTCCCTACAAAGGACATGAACTCATCATTTTTTATGGCTGCATAGTATTCCATGGTGTATATGTGCCACATTTTCTTAATCCAGTCTATCATTGTTGGACATTTGGCTTGGTTCCAAGTCTTTGCTATTCTGAATAATGCCGCAATAAAAATACGTGTGCATGTGTCTTTATAACAGCATGATTTATAGTCCTTTGGGTATATACCCAGTAATGGGATGGCTAGGTCAAATGGTATTTCTAGTTCTAGATCCCTGAGGAATTGCCACACTGACTTCCACAATGGTTGAACTAGTTTACACTCCCACCAACAGTGTAAAAGTGTTCCTATTTCTCCACATCCTCTCCAGCACCTGTTGTTTCCTGACTTTTTAATGATTGCCATTCTAACTGGTGTGAGATGGTATCTCAATGTGGTTTTGATTTGCATTTCTCTGATGGCCAGTGATGGTGAGCATTTTTTCATGTGTCTTTTGGCTGCATAAATGTCTTCTTTTGAGAAGTGTCTGTTCATGTCCTTCGCCCACTTTTTGATGGGGTTGTTTGTTTTTTTCTTGTAAATTTGTTTGAGTTCATTGTAGATTCTGGATATTAGCCCTTCGTCAGATGAGTAGGTTGCGAAAATTTTCTCCCATTTTGTAGGTTGCCTGTTCACTCTGATGGTAGTTTCTTTTGTTGTGCAGAAGCTCTTTAGTTTAATTAGATCCCATTTGTCAATTTTGTCTTTTGTTGCCATTGCTTTTGGTGTTTTAGACATGAAGTCCTTGCCCATGCCTATGTCCTGAATGGTAATGCCTAGGTTTTCTTCTAGGGTTTTTATGGTTTTAGGTCTAACGTTTAAGTCTTTAATCCATCTTGAATTGATTTTTGTATAAGGTGTAAGGAAGGGATCCAGTTTCAGCTTTCTACATATGGCTAGCCAGTTTTCTCAGCACCATTTATTAAATAGGGAATCCTTTCCCCATTGCTTGTTTTTGTCAGGTTTGTCAAAGATCAGATAGTTGTAGATATGCGGCGTTATTTCTGAGGGCTCTGTTCTGTTCCATTGATCTATATCTCTGTTTTGGTACCAGTACCATGCTGTTTTGGTTACTGTAGCCTTGTAGTATAGTTTGAAGTCAGGTAGTGTGATGCCTCCAGCTTTGTTCTTTTGGCTTAGGATTGACTTGGCGATGCGGGCTCTTTTTTGGTTCCATATGAACTTTAAAGTAGTTTTTTCCAATTCTCTGAAGAAAGTCATTGGTAGCTTGATGGGGATGGCATTGAATCTGTAAATTACCTTGGGCAGTATGGCCATTTTCATGATATTGATTCTTCCTACCCATGAGCATGGAATGTTCTTCCATTTGTTTGTATCCTCTTTTATTTCCTTGAACAGTGGTTTGTAGTTCTCCTTGAAGAGGTCCTTCACATCCCTTATAAGTTGGATTCCTAGGTATTTTATTCTCTTTGAAGCAATTGTGAATGGGAGTTCACTCATGATTTGGCTCTCTGTTTGTCTGTTATTGGTGTATAAGAATGCTTGTGATTTTTGTACATTGATTTTGTAGGCTGAGACTTTGCTGAAGTTGCTTATCAGGTTAAGGAGATTTTGGGCTGAGACAATGGGGTTTTCTAGATATACAATCATGTCATCTGCAAACAGGGACAATTTGACTTCCTCTTTTCCTAATTGAATATCCTTTATTTCCTTCTCCTGCCTAATTGCCCTGGCTAGAACTTCCAACACTATGTTGAATAGGAGTGCTGAGAGAGGGCATCCCTCTCTTGTGCCAGTTTTCAAAGAGAATGCTTCCAGTTTTTGCCCATTCAGTATGATATTGGCTGTGGGTTTGTCATAGATAGCTCTTATGATTTTGAGATACGTCCCATCAATACCTAATTTATTGAGAGTTTTTAGCATGAAGGTTTTTGAATTTTGTCGAAGGCCTTTTCTGCATCTATTGAGATAATCATGTGGTTTTTGTTTTTGGTTCTGTTTATATGCTGGATTACATTTATTGATTTGCATATATTGAACCAGCCTTGCATCCCAGGGATGAAGCCCACTTGATTATGGTGGATAAGTTTTTTGATGTGCTGCTGGATTCGGTTTGCCAGTATTTTATTGAGGATTTTTGCATCAATGTTCATCAAGGATACTGGTCTAAAATTCTCTTTTTTGGTTGTGTCTCTGCCCGGCTTTGGTATCAGGATGATGTTGGCCTCATAAAATGAGTTAGGGAGGATTCCCTCTTTTTCTATTGATTGGAATAGTTTCAGAAGGAATGGTACCACTTCCTCCTTGTACCTCTGGTAGAATTCAGCTGTGAATCCATCTGGTCCTGGACTCTTTTTGGTTGGTAAGCTATTGATTATTGCCACAATTTCAGCTCCTGTTATTGGTCTATTCAGAGATTCAACTTCTTACTGGTTTAGTCTTGGGAGAGTGTATGTGTCAAGGAATTTATCCATTTCTTCTAGATTTTCTAGTTTATTTGTGTAGAGGTGTTTGTAGTATTCTCTGATGGTAGTTTGTATTTCTGTGGGATTGGTGGTGATATCCCCTGCAGTCAAATCTTAAAGCTCCAAAATTATCTCCTTTGACTCCATGTCTCACATCCAGATCATGCTGATGCAAGAGGTAGGCTCCACAGCCTTGGGCAGCTCCGCCCCTGTGGCTTTGCAGGGGACAGCCCCACTCTTTGCTGCTTTCATGGGCTGAAAAGCATCTGCAGCCTTTTCAAGTGCACAGTGCAAGCTGTCAGATCTAAAATTCTGGGGTCTGGAGGAGAGTGGTCCTCTTCTCATAGCTCCACTAGGCAGTGCCCCAGTGGGTACTCTGTGTTGGGGCTTCTCCCCACATTACTCTTCTTCACTGTCCTAGCAGAGGTTCTCCATGAGGGCCCAGCCCCTGCAGCAAACTTATGCCTAGACATTCAGGTGTTTCTATACATCCTCTGAAATCTAGGCAGAGGTTCCCAAACCTCAATTCTTGACTTCTGTGCACCCGCAGACTCAACACCATGTGGAAGCTGCCAAGGCTTGGGGCTTGCACTCTCTGAAGCCACAACCCGAGCTGTACCTTGGCGCCTTTTAGCCATGGCTAGTGTGTCTAGGACACAGGGCACCAAGTACCTAGGATGCACACAGCACAGAATCCCTGAGCCTGGCACACAAAACCATTTTTTCCTCCTAGGCCTCCAGGCCTGTGATGGAAGGGGCTGCTGCAAAAGTCTCTGGCATCCCCTGAAAACATTTTCCCATTGTCTTGGTGATTAACATTTGGCTCCTCATTACTTATACAAATTTATGTAGCTGGCTTGAATTTCTCCTCAGAAAATGGGTTTTTCTTTTCTATCATATATTAGGCTGAACTTTTTTTCTGAACTTTTATGCTGTTTCCCTTTGAAAACGGAATGCTTTTAACAGCACCCAAGTAACCTCTCGAATGCTTTGCTGCTTAGAAATTTCTTCCACCAGATACTCTAAATCATATCCCTGAAGTTCAAAGTTCTACAAATCTCTAGGGCAGGAGCAAAATACCACCAGTCTCTTTGCTAAGACATAGCAAGAATAACCTTTACTCCAGTTCTCGACAAGTTCCTCATCCCCATCTGAGACCACCTCAACCTGGATTTCATTGTCCATATCATTATCAGGATTTTGGTCAAAGCCATTCAACAAGTCTATAGGAAGTTCCAAACATTCCCACATTTTCCTGTCTTCTTCTGAGCCTTCCTAATGCTCCAACCTCTGCCTGTTACCCAGTTCCAAAGTTGCTTCCACATTTTCAGTTATCTTTACAGCAGTGACCCACTCTACCGGTACCAATTTACTGTATTAGTCCATTTTCATGTTGCTGATAAAGACATACCCGAGACTGTATAATTTATATAAAAAAAAGAGGTTTAATGGACTGTTTAATCACAGCGAAAGGCAAAAGGCACATCTTACATGGCAGCAGACAAGAGAGAATGAGAGCCAAGTGAAAGGGTTTCCTCTTACAAAACCATCAGATCTCGTGAGACTTATTCACTACCATGAGAACAAATATGGGGGAAACTGGCCCCATGATTCAATTATTTCCCACCGAGTTCCTCCCACTATGAATGGGAATTATGAGAGCTACAATTCAAGATGAGATTGGGTGGGGACACAGCCAAACCATATCACAGATCATCAAGACAGAAAGTCAACAAAGAAACAACAGACTTAAACTATATCTCAGAACAAATAAACTTAACAGATATTTACAGAATATTCTACCCAACAACTGCAGAATATATATTCTTTTCTTCAGCACATGGAACATTCTCCAAGATAGACCACATGAGAGTTCACAAAACAAGTCTCAATAAATTTAAGAAAATCAAAATTATATTAAGTATCCTCTCAGGCCACAGTGGAATAAAACTGGAAATTAACTTGAAAAGGAATGCTTAAAACTGTACAAGTACATGGAAATTAAGTGATCTACTTTTGAATGATCTTTGGGTCAACAATGAAATCAAGAGGGAAATTTAAAAACTCTTTGAGCTGATTGATAATAATGAAACAGCTTACCAAAACCTCTGGGATACAGCAAAAACAGTGTTAACAGGAAAGTTCATAGCACTAAATGCTTATATCAAAAAGTCTGAAAGAAGATAAATAAACAATCTAAGGTCACACCTCAAGGAGCTAGAGAAACAGGAACAAACCAAACCCAAACCCAGCAGAAAAAAAGAAATAACAAAGATCAGAACAGAAATAAATGAAATTTAAACAAAAAAAAAAGTAAAAAAGATAAATGAGGCTGGGCAGTGCGGTGGCTCACACCTGTAATCCCAACATTTTGGGAGGCTGAGGCAGGCAGATCACAAGGTCAGGAGTTCGAGACCAGCCTGACCAACATGGTGAAACCCCATCTCTACCAAAAATACAAAAATTAGCCGGGCGTGGTGGTGCACACCTGGAATCCCAGCTACTAAGGAGGCTGAGGCAGGAGAATCACTTGAACCCAGGAGGCGGAGGTTGCAGTGAGCCGAGATCGTGCCACTGCACTCCAGCCTGGGCAACAGAGCGAGACGTTGTCTCAAAATAAATAAATAAATAAATAAAAATAAAGGAAACAAAAAGATGTTTTTAAAAAAGATAAAATTGACAGGCTATTAGTGAGATTAAATAAGAAGAGAGAAGAACCAAATAAGCCCAATTGGAAATGAAATGGGAGATATTACAACCAATACAACTGAAATACAAAACATTATTCAAGACTACTATGAACACTTTTATACACACAATCCAGAAAATCTACGGGAAATGGATACATTCCTGGAAATAGACAACCCTCTCAAATTAAATTAGGAAGAAATAGAAACTCTGAACAGACCAATAACAAGCAGTGAGACTAAAACAGTAGTAAAAAAGTTGCCAACAAAAAAACACATCCAGGACTATATGGGTTCACAGCTGAATTCTCTAAGACATTCAAAGAACTGATACCAATCTTACTAAGACTATTCCAAAAGATAAAGAGGGACTCCTCCCTACATCATTCTATGAAACCAGTATCTCCGTAATTCCAAAACCAGGAATGACATAAAAAAAAAAGAAAAACTATAGACCAATATCCCTGATGGACATAGATGCAAAAATACTCAATAAAAATACTATTTAATAGCTAATCAAATCCAACTGAATATCAAAGAGATAATACACCATGATCAATTAGGTTTCATATCAGAGATACAGGGATGGTTTAACATATACAAGTCAATACATGTGATCACATAAATAGAATTTTTTAAAAATCATGATCATCTCAATAGGTGCAGAAAACACATTTGACAAAACCCAGCATCCTTTTATGACTAAAATTCTCAGCAAAATTGGCATAGAAGGGATATACCTTAAGGTAATAAAAGCTATCTATGACAAGCTGACAGCCAACATTATACTGAATGGGGAAAAGCTGAAAACATTACCCTTGAGAACTGGAACAAAGCAAGGATGATTACTTTCATCACTTCTATTCAACATAGTACTAGAAGTTCTAGCCAGTGCAGTCAGACAAGGGAAATAAATAAAAGGCATCCAAATTGGTAAAGGGGAAGTCAAACTGTTGCTGTATGCTGATGATATGATTGTATACCTAGAAAACCCTAAAGACTCATCCAAAATGCTCCTGGATCTGATAAATGAGTTCAGTAAAGTTTCAGGATACAAAATCAATGTAAACAAATCAGTAGCACTGCTATATACCAACAATGACTAAGCTGAGAATCAAATAAAGAACTCTATCCCTTTTACAACAGCCACAAAAGAATATAATACTTAGGAATATACCTAACCAAGGAGGTGAAAGATCTCTACAAGGAAAACTACAAAACACTGCTGAAAGAAATCACAGACAACACAAATGGAAACACACCCAATGCTCATGGATGAATCAATATTGTGAAAATGACCATACTGCCAAAAGCAATCCATAGATTCAAAGCAATTTCTATCAAAGTACCATCATCATCCTTCACAGAACTAGAAAAAACAATCTTAAAATTCTTATGGAACCAAAAAAAGACCTGCACAGCTAAAGCCAGTCTAGGCAAAAAGAAAAAATGTGAAGACATCACATTACCCAACTTCAAACTATACTACAAGGCTATGGTTACCAAAACAGCATGGTACTGGTATAAAAACAGGCATGTAGACCAATGGAACAGAAGAGAGAACCCAGAAATAAAGCCAAATACTTACAGCCACCTGATTTTCAACAATAAAAAACAAAACCAAAGTAGGGAAAGGACACCCTATTCCACAAATGGTGCCACGATAATTGGCAAGCCACATGTAGAAGAATAAAACTGGATCCTCATTTCTTTTTTTTTTTTTTTTTTTTTTTTGAGATGGAGTCTCGCTGTTGCCCAGGCTGGAGTGCCTTGGTGCGATCTTGGCTCACTGCAGGCTCTGCCCCCCGGGTTCATGCCATTCTCCTGCCTCAGCCTCCCGAGTAGCTGGGACTACAGGCACCCGCCACCTTACCCAGCTAATTTTTTGTATTTTTAGTAGAGACGGGGTTTCACCATGTTAGCGAGGATGGTCTCAATCTCCTGACCTCATGATCTGCCTACCTCAGCCTCCCAAAGTGCTGGGATTACAGGCGTGAGCCACCACGCCCGGCTCATTTCTTACCTTTACAAAAATCAACTCAATATGGATCAAATACTTCAATCTAAGACCTGAAAGAATAAAAATTCCAGAAGATAACATTGGAACTCTTCTAGATGTTGGTGTAGTCATTAAGTTCATGACCAAGAACCCAAAAGCAAATGCAACCAAAAACAAAGATAAATAGATGGGACTTAATTAAACTAAAAAGCTTTTGCACAGCAAAAGAAATAATCAGCAGAGTAAACAGACCGCCCACAGAATGGGAGAAAATATTCATAAACTATGCATCCAACAAAGGACTAATATCCAGAATCTGCAAGAAATTCAAACAAATCAGCATCAAGAAAACAAATAACCCCATCAAAAAGTGGGCTAAGGACATGAATAGACCATTCTCAAAATAAGATATACAAATAGCCAATAAACATAAAAAAATGCTCAACATCACCAATTATCAGGGAAACACAAAATCACAATGTGATACCATATTATTCCTGATAGAATGGCCGTAATTAAAAAATCAAAAAATAATAGATGTTGGTGTGGATGTAGTGAAAAGGATCACTTTTACACTGATGGTGAGAATGTAAACTAGTATAACCACTATGGAAAACAGTGTGGAGATTCCTTAAAAAACTAAAAATAGAACTATCATTTGATCTAGCAATCCCACTACTGACTTCCCAGAGGAAAAGAAGTCATTAAATGAAAAAGACATTTGTGCATGCATGTTTATCACAGCACAATTCACAATTGCAAAAATATGGAACCAGTCTAAATACCCATCAACCAACAAGTGGATAAATGAAATGCAGTATAGATACATCAGGGAATATGACTCAGCCATAAAAAGGAATAAAATAATGGCATTTGCAGCATCCTGGATGTGGTTGGAGACCATTATTCTAAATGAAGTAATTCAGAAATGGAAAACCAAATATTGTATGTTCTCACTTACAAGTGGGAGTTAAGCTATGATGATACAAAGTCATAAGAATAATATAATGAACTTAGGGAACTTGGGGGGAAGAGCAGGAGGGACTTGAGGGATAAAGACTACACACTGGGTACAGTGTATACTGCTCAGGTGATGAACACACTAAAATCTCAGAAATTACCGCTAAAGAACTTCTCCATGTGACAAAAAACCACTTGTGCTCCAAAAACTATTGGAAAAAAAAAAGTTTTTTAAAAAAATCACATATAACAAGCCAAGGGAAAATGTCTGCAACACATGTTAAAAATTATAGCTTTATTTTATAAGGAGAACTACTAGTTTATTAAAAAGCCTCCCCCAAATAAAAATGGTCAGAGGTAGTATATGAAAAAGCAAACTGCAAATGACTGATAAGCATATGAAACAAATGTACAATCATTTAGCAATAATATAATTCTAATGAAAATAGATATCCTTTTTTTAAAAAAAGAGAATACTGAAAGACAATACCAAGAAATCAGAAAAACAATTTGAGATACAAATTACAATTTTACCAAAGAGAAAGATATTGTAAAAAAGAACAAAACAGAAATTCTGGAACTGAAGAATTCATTGAATGAAATGCAAAATATATTTGAAAGCTTAAATAATAGAGTAGATCAAGTAGACGAGAAGGCAACAGAAAATGAATGGATTAGAAAACCTATTTAACAAAATAACAGATGAACACTTCCCAAGTCTAGCAAGAGATTTAGACTTCCAGATACAGGAGGCTCAAAGATCTCCAAATAGATAAATTCAAAAAGGTCTTCACCATAGCACATTATAGTTAAACTGTCAAAGTCAAAGACTAAGAGAATATTCTAAAAATAGCAACAGAAAAGTGTCTAATCACTTAAAGGAATCCCCATCAAACTAATAGCAGATTTCTCAGCAGAAACTTTATGGGCCAGGAAAGAATGGGATGATATTCTAAAAGTACTGAAAGAAAAAATCTCCTAACTAATATAGTAAGGATACTGTATCTAGTAATGTTATCTTTCATAAATGTAGGAGAAATAAAGTCTTTTCCAGACATGCAAAAGCTGAGGGAATTCATCACCACTAGATTGGTTCTACAAGAAATGCTTAAGGAAGTCCTACACCCAGAATTAAAAGGACAATAAATACCACCATGAAAACACACACAAAATATAAAAACCACTGGTAGAGCAAACACACAAATGAAGAAGAGATACAAACTCAAAGATTATTACAGAATATCACCAAACCGCAGTGATAAACAAGAAGGGAGAAAGAGGGGAACAAAGGATATACAAACCAACCAGAAATCAATGACAAGAATATGCCTTTGCATATCAATAATAACTTTGAATATAAACAGAGTAAATGTTCCCTTTAAAAAATATGGACTGGCTGAATGGATTAAAAAAACATGACACAATTATATGCTGCTTACCAGAAAATCATCTCACCTGTAAAGACATATAGAATGAAAAGAAAGAGATGCAAAAAGATATTCCATGCAAAGGGAAACCAAAAGTGAACAGGAGTAGCTATACTTATATCAGATAAAACAGACTTTAAGTCAAAAACAGTAAAAAGACACAAAAAAGGTCATTATATAATGATAAAGGGATCAATTCATCAACAGCATATAACAATTCTAAACCAACACCAGAGCACCCAGGTATATAAAGCAAATTTTAGATTGAAAAGGTGAGACAGACTCCAATATGTTAATTACTGAGGACTTCAACACCCTACTTTCAGCATGAAACAGAAAATTAACAAAAAACCATTATATTTAAGCTGTACATTAAACTAAAGGGACCTAACAGATATATACAGAACATTTCCTCTAACAGCTATAGAATACACATTCTTCTCACCAGCACATAGAATATTCTCCAGGATAGACTATATGTTAAGACACAAAATAATTCTCAATAAATTTTTAAAAATCAAAATTATATCAAGTATCATCTCAAACCACAATGTAATAAAACTAAAAATCAACAACAAGGGGAACTTTGGAAACTATACAAATACATGGAAATTAAACAACATGCTCCTGAACAACTTTGGGTTAAAGAAAAAATTAAGGAGGAAATAAAAAACTTCTTTGAAACAAACAAAATTTGAAATACAACATTCCAAAAACCTATGGAATTTAGCAAAAGCAGTGCTAAGAGGGAAGCTTTTAGCAATAAACACCTATATCAAACAATAGACAGATTTCAAATCGATAATCTAGCTATACATCTGAAAGAACTAGAAAAGCAAGAGCAAACCAAATCCCAAATAAGTAGAAGGAATGAAATAGTAAAGATTGGAGCAGAACTCAACAAAATAGAGACTACAAAAATAAAATAAAATAAAAAGGATCAATGAAATGAAAAGTTTATTTTGACAAGATAAACAAAATTGACAAACCACTTGCTAGACTAATCCAAAACAGAGTATGAGAAAACTCAGATAAATAAAATCAGGTATGAAAAAGAAGATGTTACAACTGATACCACAGAAACACAAAAGACTAATATAAACAACTATAAACACCAACAAACTAGAACACCTAGAGGGAATGAAAAAATTTCAGAACACATACAACCTCCCAAAATTGAATTAGGAAGAAATGGAAAATCTGAACAGACCAATAATAAGCAATGAGACTAAATCTGTAAAAAAAAAAAAGTCTGCCAACAAAGACAAGTCCAGGACCAGACAGTTTCACTGCTGAACTATTCCTAACTTTCAAAGAAGAACTAATACCAATACTCTCAAACTATATTCTCAAAAACTGAAGAGGAGGGAATTCTCCCTGCCTCATTCTATGAGACCAACATTACCCTGATAAAAAAAACAGCCAGACAAGGACACAACTAAAAATAAAATTATAAGCCAATATCCCTGATGAACATAAATGCAAAAATTCTCAACAAAATAGTAGCAAACCAAATCCAACCACACATCAAAAAAATACATCATAATCAAATGGAATTTATCCCAGGGATGCAAGGATGGTTCAACATACACAAATCAATAAATGTGATATATCACATCAAAAGAATGAAGGACTGGCCATCAGAGAAATGCAAATCAAAACGACAATGAGATACCATCTCACACCAGTTAGAATGGCAATCATTAAAAAGTCAGGAAACAACAGGTGCTGGAGAGGATGTGGAGAAATAGGAACACTTTTACACTGTTGGTGGGACTGTAAACTAGTTCAACCACTGTGGAAGTCAGTGTGGCGACTCCTCAGGGATCTAGAACTAGAAATACCATTTGACCCAGCCATCCCATTACTGGGTATATACCCAAAGGACTATAAATCATGCTGCTATAAAGACACATGCACGCGTATGTTTATTGCGGCATTATTCAGAATAGCAAAGACTTGGAACAAAGCCAAATGTCCAACAATGATAGACTGGATTAAGAAAATGTGGCACATATACACTATGGAATACTATGCAGCCATAAAAAATGATGAGTTCATGTCCTTTGTAGGGACATGGATGAAATTGGAAATCATCATTCTCAGTAAACTATCGCAAGAACAAAAAACCAAACACCGCATATTCTCACTCATAGATGGGAATTGAACAATGAGAACACATGGACACAAGAAGGGGAACATCACACTCTGGGGACTGTTGTGGGTTGGGGGGAGGGGGGAGAGATAGCATTGGGATATATACCTAATGCCAGATGACGTGTTAGTGGGTGCAGCACACCAGCATGGCACATGTATACATATGTAACTAACCTGCACATTGTGCACATGTACCCTAAAACTTAAAGTATAATAATAATAATAAAAAAAAGAATGAAGGACATAAAACATATGATTATCTCAATTAATGCAGAAAAAGTATTTGATAAAGTTCAATGTCCCTTCATGATAAAAACTCAACCAACTAGGCATAGAAGGAACATATCTCAACATAAAGGCCATATATGACAAACTCACAGCTAACATCATTCTGAATGGGGAAGAGCTGAAAGCCTTTCCCCTAAGAAGTGGAATAAGACAAGGATACACACTTTCACTACTCCTATTCCACTCAGTACTGTATATCCTAGCCAGAGCATCAGGCAAGAGAAAGGAATAAAAGGCATTCAAATTGGGAAAAGAGTCAAATTGTCCTCTTTGCTGATGATATAAATATCTAGAAAAACCTAAAGACTCTATGAAAAAAACTCTTAGATCTGATAAAAATAGTTAAATTGCAGGACATAAATTAACATACAAAAATCAGTAATGTTTCTATATACCAATAATGGATTAGCTGAAAAAGAAATCAAGAAGCCAATTCTGTTTACAATAGCTCCAAAAAATACCTAAAAATAAATTTAACCAAGGAGGTGAAAAACCTTTACAAGGTGAACAAAACACTGATGAAATAAAGACGACAAAAAGAAATGAAAAGACATTGTATGCTCATGAATAAGAAAAATTAGTATCATTAAAATGACCATAGCAATGACCAAAGCAATCTACAGATTCAATGCAGTCCCTTTCAAATATCAATGTCATTTTTCACAGAGATAGAAAAAAATCTTAAAATTTGCGTGGAACCAAGGGAGTTCAAAAAGCCAAAGCAATCCTGAGCAAAAAGAACAAAGCTGGAAGCACCACACCATCTGACTTCAAAATATATTACAAGGCTACAGTAATTAAAACAACATGCAATTGGCATAAAAACAGACACATAGACCAAGAGAACAGCATAGAAAATCCAGAAATAAACTGACATATTTCCAGCCAGAGGATTTTCAACAAAGGCACCAAGAACACACACTGGGAAAAGGACACCCTCTTCAATAAATGGTACCGGGAAAATTGGGTATCCACATCCAGGAGAATGAAATTGGACCCCTCTCTCACCATATACAGAAATCAACTCAGGATGGACTAAAGACTTAAGTGTAAGACCCCAAACTATAAAACTACCATGAGAAAACATAGGTAAAATAATTCAGGACATTGATCTAGGCAGAGACTTTATAGCTAAGACCTCAAAAGCACAGAAAACAAAAACAGAAATAGACAAATGGGACTATATTAAACTAACAAGCCTCTGCACAGCAAAGGAAACAATCAACAGAATGAAGAGACAATTTGCTGAATGGGAGAAAATACCTGCAATCCATTTGTCTGACAAGGGAGTAATATCCACAATATACAAGAAATTAGAAAAAAAAACCCTTAGCAGTAAAAAACCAAATAATTCAATTAAAAAGTGGGCAAAGGACATGCAAAGGCATTTTTCTAAGGAAGACATACAAATAGATAACAGGTATAAGAAAAAATGTTCATCACTACTAATCACCAGGGAAATACCAACCAAAACCACGAGATATCATCTTACCCCAGTTAGAACAGCTACTTTATTAAAAAGAGAAAATAATAACAGATGCTGGTGAGGATGCAGAGAAAAGGGAGCCCTTATACATTGTTGATAGGAATGTAAATTAGTACAGCCACTATAGAAAACAGTATGGAGATTTCTCAAAACACTAAAAACAGTACTGCCATACAATCTAGCAATCCCACTACAGGACATTTATCCAAAGGAAAAGAAATCAGTATATCAAAGGGATACTTGTACTTGAATGTTTATTGGAGAATTACTCATAATAGCAAAGATATGGAATCAACCTAACTGTCCATCAATGGAAGAATGGATAAAGAAAATGTGTGATATACATACACAATGAAATACTATTCAGACATAAAAAAGAATGAAATCATGCCATTTGCAGCAACATGGATGGAACTGGAGGTCATTATGTTAAGTGAAATAAACCAGGAACAGAAAGTTAAATGCTGCATGTTCTTACTTATATGCAGAAGGTAGCAAAAAAAGTCGATCTCATGGAAGTAGAGAGAAAACTGATAGATACCAGAGGCTGAGAATGCTGTATGGTGGGAGGGGGAATGAAAAGAGGCTGGTAAATGGGTACAAACATACATTAGATAGAAGGTATAAGTTTCAATGTTTGATAGCAGAGTTAGGTGACTCTAGTTAATAACAATGTATTATATATTTAAAGTAGCTAGAAGAGATAATTTGAAATATTCCCAACTTAGAAATTATAAATTTATAGAAATTATAAAAACTCAAGGTGATGGATACCACAAATACCGTGACTTGATCATTACACATTCTATGCATCTCTTCTCCCTTCTTCCCTGCTTCCTTGTCACACTCTACCCCCAATTTGTGTAAGGAAAGTATTAGTAATTTTTCATTTTTCCTCTACCTGTTTCTTTGCTTCTCTTTGTGAGCTCAGGCACAGGCATTCCACAGGGTGCCTGTTCTCTGGCAGTAGGTAAGATACATTCCTCATCTTCTGAGGGCAGACAGTGACAAAGCCCGGGAGTAATCATATATAGGTGACAAAACTCAATACAGAAAAATTCACATCCGTTAATAGAAAAATGGAATATACATTCTAGGAAATTATTATGATTCATATTTTAAATTATATTTGAAGAAACCGCTTTCCAACTACGTGAAACCACATAGATGCAAAGGAAGAAATGCCTTTCACAGTTCTCTAAGCATTTATCTGAGTAGAAATATTAGAGAATTCAGTGTGAGTAAGGTTGCCTGCTGAGAACAGAACCTGAAATGCCGGGAGGCATATTAAAAGCCAGTATAAATGATGCAATTCATGGCAGACAGTCATCTATAGGCATACATGCATTATTGTTAATGGAAAACAGAGGTATCAGCAAGAGTTACACTGTTGCCATTTCTCCTTTCTTGACATGGAAATCATTTACAATATACAACAACACATAAGCTCAGTACCTTCCAGTAGGTATATAAATATTCCTATGTTATGTACAGTGGTAAAATAAAAATGAAATATAGTATAAAAATCTTGGCTTCATGACTTATCTCACATATCTCAATAACTCAGCATATTATTTAACACCTACGATGCACCTACCATTATGCAAGATCCTGTGGGTAATACAAGGGCAGATAAAGATATAGTTTCTATTCTGAAAGATAGTGACATATTTAAAAGCTGAGACTTAAGAACACAAACACACACACAAAATACAAAATAAGACAGTATATACCTATTTGCTGCATGTTTAAAAATATAAGTGCTATCCAATATCAAAAAGAGATTATTGTGGACTGGAGTAACCGGAGGTAACAATATAAAAAAGAAGAATCTTGAAGTATAAAAATAATTTAACCACAAAGAGAAAAATCAAATGGGTAGTTTATTTTGGCCAGGGGGAAAAACATGTACAAAATACTGAAAAGGGAATGGCCTCAGAGAGTTTCATACTATTGGCAAAAACCTCAGTTACTTTTGCACCAACCTAATGACTCAAATCTATATCAAAATTGTAGACTTTTTTGACATATAGAAATGAGTTATTTTCTTAAAATTAATCATAAGTCCTAGGACAGTTCCAGATTGAGTTTATTGTTCAAGAATAATTACTGATAGCACCTCCTTTTACTCAAAAAGTTTCCAATTTGGACTACAAATTTTATAGTCGTCTTACTTATAATAAGCTATCTCAGCAGAGAATTATACTACTTGACATCCTTTCATTTAATAATGGTTCTTTTGTTTTGAACATCATTGGCAAGGCCATTTGCCAAGATACATCCTTTATTCTGACTTTTATAAAGTATTTCATTTTCTAAATTACCAGAGATACAGCAAATATTGACCCAAATGTTTATGTATCTCTTTAAATTAAGTCCAGAGGCTTCTCTCTTAGGAGATTTCATTTTTAGAATCCAAATGAAACCTGTAACTCAGAGCCCTTCTTAAGGAAATATCCTTTTCAAACCTCAATCAACATCATCATCAAGAAACACTTGTTGGGCATTTACTATATGAAGGACAGTATGCAGGGTGCATAGAGTTGGGTGTGGGGAAGGGGAATACAAAAAATATAAAATACGGTCTCTCTTTTCCAGTAGTTTATAATCTACTGGTTGCTGTCCATCCATCCATCTACCTACTCACCCATCTATCCATCCACCCATCCACCTACCCATCCATCCAGCCAGCCAGCCATCCAGCCATCTGCCCACTGATTTACAATCATAAAACATCATATCAATAGGTACCAAATAAGTTATGTAAGCACTACATGCACCTATCAGGGATTGCATTTGGCTACATATAACAGAAACCAGACTATAGTATATTAACGATATAGTGGTTAATTATTTTCACATAGTAAGAGGTCTGGAGAGAGGCATTTCAGGGTGGGGACAAGGACACCAAGATATCATCAACGACTAAGAATTCTTCTGTCTTTCTTAAAATGTCATGCTCATCCTCACAGTAATCTCACCATTGCAAGAAGACCAATCTGCCTCCAGCCTGTCCTCTGCATTTTGGGGAGGAAGAGGAAAAAGGAAGAAACAAAGGAAAGAGGTGGTGCAAAATTTCCCAGAACCCCCCAGCAGATTTTCACTCACATCTCATTGAACAGAACCTTCACAGAAAGTCATCCTTAATTTCAAGGTAGGTTTAGAAAGTAAGTGTCTGGCCTTTCCAGCATCTAGAGAGAAAGTTAAGCTCTTCTGCCTACAAATATCAGACAAAGGAGAATTCCTCAAACATAGCAAGCATACGTTTTTCATATCTGCTCATAAATGAATTAATTCAACAAATATTTTGAGAGCATTACTATGTGCCAGACACTGTTAGGTGATAGAAATAGATAAAGCAAAGAATCAGACTGGTTTTCATGGAACTTAGCCAGGAATGCAAACATTAAACAAATAATTGTATTTAAGGAGCATTATAAAAGGGAAAACAAAGGATGTTCATGGGAACCCCATTAGAGGTCAGCAAATGTCTTCCTGATGATCTGGCATCTCAGCTAAACCCTGAAAAAAGAGGTATATAATCTCTTAGCAGAAAGAGGTAGCAAAAAGAAGTAGATAATCTCTTAGAAAACAGGAAAAAACGTGTAAGGTGACTGAAAGAGAGTGAGGCTCGAGGGATAACCAAGGGTGAGAGGTCACCCAGACTCTCAGACCATAGAGAAGATTTTGAGCCTTATTCTAAAGAAAACATGAACCTATGACAGATACAATGATCAAATATGCATTCTGACACAACCACCAGGTTGCAGAATAAAGAATGAATTGAAAATGGGCAATGATAGAGGGAGATGATAGAGGGATGACTGTAGATGTGCAAACAAAGAATGGACTAGCATCGTGGTTGAATGAATTGATAAACATATGGACAGATTCAAGAAATATTTAAGAGGAAGGTGATATGGGAAGAATCAAAGATAATGCTCAGGATGGATGATAATCATAATTACATTATATAAGCCATTCATATGTTTTATTAAATCTATATAAGATACAAATCTCACACACCCCCATTTAATACTCAGAGTAACTCCATGACAAAGGTAGTATTAGTATTCCCGTTTTACAGACTAGAAAACTGAGGCAAAGGGCATTTAAGTAATTTGCCCAAGTCCAAGCTACTAATAACTGGTGCAGCCAGGATTCAAATCCAGGCAATCTGATTCAAAACCCAGCCTCAACACTACCTTAATGCTGCAGAGTGATGATGGGGGTAACATATGCTAAAGTTAGGAACACAAGAGTAGCAGGTAGAACACAAGTAGAAAGAGGATAAACAGTTCACTTGGGGACACATTAAAGCTTGTGATACAGCCAGGTGAAGATGTTAAAAAGAGAGCTGAAGAGATTAGTCTGGGGCTCACAAGAAATGTTAGAAGTGCAAGTGGTGATTCAGAAGCCTACCTCAAGAGAGGGTAACTAAAGCTTCAGGGCTGAATAAAAGCAACTGGAAACTGAAGAGAGAATGTAGAATAAAAATGGAAGAGAGCTGTGGACAGGTCCCTGGAAGTCTCCAGTATTTACATAGCAGGAGGAAGTGGAGAGGCCAAAAAAGGACAATAAAAAGCAATAGGTATCATGAAAGGCCACATAAAAAATGAGAATATGATATGAAATAAGAGTGTTTTAGATAAAAGGGGTAAAATACTGTGTCAAATGCTATTAAGAAGTCAAGAAAGACAAATAACTAGCATACTTTTTGGATTTAGTAACATGGAAATAAATGATGATCTGAATTAGAACTTTTTTTGAAATGTTGATGAATGAAACCAAATTACAGTGAACTGAGGGATATATGCATGTGAGAAAATGAAAGCAGTAAGTCCAGGTAATTTATTCAGTAAGAATGGCAAGAAAAGGGGGAGCTAAGAAAGTATCTGGAAGATGCCTCAGTTTAAGTGAAGATTTCATTTGTTTATTTGGAGTCCTGAGGAAATACTGTTGGAAAAGAAGGAGTTTGTAGAGAAAGAAAAGATGAAAATACCATAAAACGAGGAAATAATAGGCACTGCCAGATTCCTGGCAGCCAGGGTACTTGTATGAAGAGTGTGGTTAACTGGAGTCATCCACATTAGGAGTTTTTCCAGCTGATACGATGGAAGGATAATGTAAATGGGACTTGAAGATACTGTCAAAGGATGACTGACATAACAAACATGGCATCTAAGCTGGATAAGAAAGAAAGTGACAACAGAAAAAGAAAGAGAGAAGGTAGAGGCATCAGCAGACTTCAGGACGCAATGAAACTGATCAAGTTGGACAATGAGAAGTACACAAAGAATGGGATGTCTAAATTAGTGACTTCAAATGTGGAGCCACTTTAGTTGATTAAAATAATTTTCCATCTCACTACATCTTCACTTTAGTTTAAAATGTGGCAAATAACACATGAAGATTTCTTGCTGAGTTCTTCACAATGTTTCTAGGGATAGCTTCCCTAACAGTTCTGTCAACTCAACCAACCCTGGTTGAGTTGCTAACACTGGATGGCTTTTTGTACAACTGGGTTTCTTCAGTCCAAGAAGACAAGGCTCAAGATTTGGTGTGCCTTGTCCTTTTAAAATAGGTGCCTCCAATGACAGTCTCTTCACTCTACCATAACTTACCATAGCTGTATTTGTTTGGTTTCTTCAACTAACCTGAATAGTGATATCATATAAAAGAGAAAGATAAAGAATTTGATCAGCTGTGTGAGCATCATTATTTAATCTCTTTGTGTTTGCTTAGCCATCTGTAAAATGGATATAAGAGTTGTGGATCATACTTTAGTCAATGAGTTAATTCATTTTTCTCCAATTTGAAAGCTGTTCCCAGTTATAAATATGTAAATAATATGTAAAGAATCTGAGAAAAATTCAAATTGTCCACTTTTGTGAAGGTGCATTAATTCAAACCTGCAACAAATAAAAATTAACCTGTTCTTAAGCTAAAATAACATGATCTGACTTGTTTGTTCAGGCGTTATGGTAAGTGAGGCAGTAAGGAGATGGGTGGAGGGATGAGGGTCAAGAGAAAAGCTAACTGAAAGACAAGCCAGAGGTGCATTCTTTAAAATAATTTTGCTGCCTCCTTGATGAAGAGCAGCATGGAGTCCAGCATTAGACGGGGTGGCCACCTATTGCCTATTAGGACTGGCTTCAGATACACAGATAGTAGAAGTTCTCACCAGAGCCTAATTACTCTACTGAATTATCTCGCTTAGACTTCCTGGGGATTTCTTCCAATGTTAAAGTCAGCCTTGCTTAAATAAGCAAACAAAAAACCCACCTCCCCAACCCCTGCCTTATTCCTACTCCTACAAAAAGGCTATGAGTATGAAAATCCCTGGAGCTCAGGTAAAAGGATTTGCTGGAAAGCCAAACTTAACTTTTGACCCTTGAGGTCGACATATTCAAATTCTTGTTTTTTGTCCAACGTCTCCCTCCCTTTTCCCTCCTATGTTGATAATTTTATTATGCCCTTTTAAATCACTGCATATCCTTTCTGCAAAGAAAGGGGATATAATAAATAAAAGTAATAATTAAGTTCTACAGTTATGCTTTCCATAAAATCTCTACTCCACTGAGTGGAACTCCACCGGCTGCGAACTTAACCAAAGCTGGGCTAGACTTTGGTTAAAACACCAATTAAATTGGAATTAATTGTGGGAGAGCTGAGATTAGGATATTTCCTAGACTCAAGAACTTCCTTTGTGAAATTAGTCAATATTTAGATATCCAAGTTAGGTATGAAAGTGACAATGTTTATAGGGAGAAACAGTATGCTACTAACCTTAGTTAACAAACATAGAAAAAGGAAAAAGGAAGGTGAGGGAAGTGAAAGGTAACTGAATTCCTACCAAGCAATGAGTAATGTGTGTATCATCCCTGTGAAGCAGCTCTTTCTCCGTCCATTTTACAGATGATGAAACCAAAGCACAGAAAGATTAAGGGGCAAAGTCATAGGATTAGGTATTAGCAGAGCCTGTACTCTATACCACATCATACACTGCCTCCCTTCGAATTCATTCTTATAATTCCCACTATGTTTATGCCAATAAAAATTATTTTATTTGTTATAATAATAAGTAACTAATTTTAAGCAAGGGAAATTCAAAGTGGAAAGGTGAATAGAAAAAATAATAAGTGGCTGGGCCTGAAACTGCTGATTAAAAAGCTTTGGGAGAAAAAGAATGCCTTAAAAAGACAAAGCAGAAAAAAAATGTACCTTATTTTGGTAACCATGTTGCTACAGCAACATCATAATTATACACGAAGGGCTTTCAAAGTTATGCTGGTAATAAAAGATATACACATATACATAGGTCTATCAATATTGTTAAATAAGTATCAATCTCTTTAACCTTGCCAGTTTTAGTAACAAGGAAACCCAGGTAAACATTATTTATACTGATAGTAAAAACCCCTGTCAACTTCTATTTACTGTTTGCACATGTTCATGGAGAGAAGAAATAAAAGAAAATAGTATGTTCTATACCTAAGGACTTTGGTCTGGAGCACAATCTAGTGTTGGTGTGGGAGAAAAATGAAAAGATAATAAAAAGATTAGCTGATCTTAGATCTACATGTTATAAATAAGCTTGTTTAGGTTCCTCAAAGTTCAAGTAATGCATAGCACAAACATCAATGTAATAAATTCATACTTACACATCTAGACAAAAAAAGTGATATGAACTTCTAGATTTAAAATTATTTTTTAATGGCCCTGTGTCTACTGGAGCCATTTTTCAATGGCCTGAAAATGAATGTTTTTCCACAATGGTACTCAACGTTTTTTCCCTGCCTTTCCCATGTTCCTATGCCCAAGCAGACTTCCATCAGTAACAGTCCTCATTTTACTGTAGGAATTCTTACCACACCCCAAAATGGGCAAATCAGAATCTCAAGAGAGATGTGAGGGATTGAAAAGGCCCCAGAGATTGAAAATAGTTCCCTAGGAAGTAGGCCCCATCCCATAAGAACTACAGTTCTGCATCAGTTCTTTGTTCTATCAAATCTTGATTATTCAAAATTAAGTTGTCCCAATCATTTTTAGCATAAATGCCCTTTACACTACTTCCATAAACACCAAAAAGTGCTGCAAAAGTACAAAAAGCAGAAGCCTGGATGAGACATGTATAAAAGATAAGACCTTTTATAAAGGGAGTTGTTGATGTATTTATTTTCTCAAGATACTATTTTTCTTCCTCTCAGTGAATGAAATTAAGCATACACATTATACTCTGGAGAAAAATCTAATGGCCCAGTGAGGCAGGCCCTGATAGTGTCTGTTTCCTTTTCTTCCTTACAACAGTACCTGATATTGTTTCAGGAAGCAACAAGCCAACACCCTGCAGCCAATGCCTCAGACTCCTCTGCAGTCATGACCAATAGCACATAAGGTGAAACTTTCTGAAAAAGTTTTTGATCTCCTAATATAAGCATTTCCCCTGACTGCTTCCCCCTTCATATTCCTGCCTAGAAATTAAACATGATATCTGGTGATACAGAAGCCATGATGAAATCATAAGACCAGTATAAGGCTAAAAGCCTACTTACTGAGCAAGACAGAATGAGAGATAGAAAGGGATTGAGTTCCTGGTGACATCACTAAGCTGCCCATACCCTTTCTTCTTCCTTCAAGAAATAAACCTTTGTCCATTTAAGCCACTTACTATAGATTGTATTCCTAACTGATCCAGCCAGTCTAGGTTGGAGGTAGGTAGGTTTAGCAAGGAAGGAAAATGACTAACAAAAGCTGCCTTGTTTGCCCCATCACCCTCTACTCCAGCCAGGTACACTTATTTCCTCCAATTCTCTCCATTTGTAAATTCAGACACACTCTCTGCATTAATTTGGTCTCAAACTGTAGACTCAGTCTGGATCTCTGGACCTTTGGTACCTACCTTAGGTAGCCCTATCCTTGGGCTGACTGCTCTAAACTGACTTATCTGGCTCACCTAACATGAGATAATTGCCAACCGAACTCTTAAGTGCTGTCCCTCATAAACAAGCCTACATTACTGTGGATTAACTCTCCACATGACAGTCTCAATTTGGCATAAGCGGAGGAGAAACTGAAGAGGAAATGTTTAACAGCCACTTAGAGATGCATTTTATTGTGTAACTACTGACTTCTGTAATCTACTGATATTTGTGAGAATTTAACCAATTACCTTCTTTAGAAATATTCTAAGTTACTCAAAATAATATTTAATTTGACTAAAAAACCAACCCAAGATTTCCACCAAGATGGAGTAGTCCCATTGTTCCCAGATCCTCCTTACAACTGAAACACCCCGAACATAACATAAGCAGCATAGAAAGACTCTGAAAAGTGGAAAGAAGGCAGATGGCCTAGGGACCTTCGGACTTGATAAATACCAAGGCAATAAAATCCATGAGTTTTCTTATTGACTCTCATATATCCCAGACAAGGTGCTGTCGAAGTCTCCAACCCAGAACCACCAACAGCCATAGACAAAAAAGAGCTCCAAGAAAAATTTAATCCACCTAGCTGAGTAGGGGAAGGGTGACTGAATGACAGAAAGTATTCTTGGCAGTACTTGCCGTACTCCAGCCAAACACCAACAGTATAGATCAGTGGTTGCTAAGTGTTAACGGGGAAGGAGGATGCATAAGTAGAACACAGAGTATTTTTAGGGTAGTGAAACTGTTCTGTATGAATGAAACTATTCTGTATTAATGAAACTATTCTGTATTCTGCAATGGTGGATAATGTCTTTATACATTTGTCAAACCCCTTAGAATGTATAATACCAAGAGTAAAACGTAATGTAAACTATATATTTGGGATGATGATGATGTGTCAATGTAGCTTTATCAACTATAACAAATGTATCATTGTGGTGTGAAGAGGAGGCTGTGTGAGTGTGGGGACTGTGTTATATGAAAACTTTCTGATCCACTCAATTTTGCTGTGAACTTAAAACTGCTCTAAAAAATAAAGTTTATTAATTTGTTAAAAAGTCAGTATAAAACGTTGTGAAGTGTAAAGATACAAACTATAATTTTTTTAATCCAGTGTTAGAAAAATTTAAGGTCAAGAAGGATATTCTATATCAGCAAAACATATAAAATCTAAAAAGATGGTTTTATATACCCCCATGAACTTAATTTTGACATAGACAGAAACTGATAAATCCATATTCATTTTGAAGGACTTCAATATTCCCTTATCATTTTTCAAGTGAAACTGACAAAACTAAGTACAAATATATGTAATTTGAATACTGCAATTAACCAGTGTAATTTAATGGATCTATTACAAAGTTATATCCATTAAAAGGAGACTATGTACACTTTTGAGTAACTACAGAATATTTCCAAAACTTATTGTTTATTAAACTCTTAATACGGTCTCCCAAATAGGTTATATTCTCTTCAACCTGGAATAAAAATAGACATAGATAAAAGGATAGTCAAAAAACAACCTATCCATTTAGAAATTTAAAAACATTCCTCCAAGTATTT
Source organism: Homo sapiens (assembly GCF_000001405.40). Taxonomy (NCBI): domain Eukaryota; kingdom Metazoa; phylum Chordata; class Mammalia; order Primates; family Hominidae; genus Homo; species Homo sapiens. The sequence goes on along the minus strand of NC_000003.12, from coordinate 156,858,919 downwards.
CTTGGATTAAAAAGCAAATAAAAACTAAACTTCATCTTATTTAGAAGTAAATGAAAATAAAATACTATTATCAAAAAGTTTGTTGTTGCCAAAGACTGTTGCCACAGGAAAACTTAATAGCTTTAAATTTATTTATTAGAAAAAGAGACTGAAAATAAATTAACCAAAGACTTCAACTCAAGTAAGTAGAAAGAAAACTAAACATTAAAGAAAGGATAGAAAACAGATTTTTTTTTTTTTTTTTTGAGACAGGGTCTCGCTCTGCCATCCAGGCTGGAATGTAGTGGCATGATTCTCGGCTCACTGCAGCCTCCACCTCCCAGGTTCAAGCGATTCTCCCACCTCAGCCTCCCAAGTGTCTGGGGTTACAGATGTCTTCCACCACACCCAGCTAATTTTTGTATTTTTAGTAGAGAACGGGGTTTCACCATGTTGGCCAGGCTGGTCTCAAACTCCTGACCTCAGGTGATCTGCCTGTCTCGGCCTCCCAAAGTGCTGGGATTACAAGCGTGAGCCACCGCGCCTGGCCTGATAAATATAAATTTTAAAAAGGAACATATTTGATTAATTTAAACAAAAATCTGGTTCTTTAAAAAGGCCAAAATAGACAAATTTGTTTATTTTCCTAGGAAAAAAAGCTCTCTCTCTCTCTGTCCTTCACTCTCTTTCTTGTCTCTTTCTCAATCAAACGCAAATAAACTACTCAAGGAAAGAGAAATGGAGTCATAACAGATACAGAGGAAAGCTTCTAAATAAGAGGATACTCTATAATACTAAACATCCAGAAATTTGAAATGCAAGTGAAATGCTTGATTTTCCAAGAAAACACTTCCAAAACTGACTCAAAAAGAGGTAAAAAATCCATAAGTAAACCAATAATTACAGAGGAAACATAATAGGTCATCAAAATTCAACCAACCCTCCCCCTACAAAATACATTTTTAATGAAGATCTACCAAATCTTCAAAGAACAAAAAATTCATGTGCTATTTAAGATGTCTGGTGCACACCAAAGCCAAAAGCCTTCTTAACTTATTAGAAAAGATAAGTATAACCTAGTCTGTATGCCACAAGAAAACTATAGGCCAACCTCACCTGTGAACACAGACGCAAATAGCTATGTAAAATATTAGCAGCATTATTTCAAAAGAACAATGCTCTTCATAAACTATTTCACATATCACCATTAGCATGGGCAATTTTGTTAGTGTTACAGAAACAAAACACTTTGATTTTAATAAAGAAATTATCCAAAATCCAAAACTTCTTGAGTGTCAACATAATTTTCAAAGGAAACATTCATTAGTGCATTTCACATTTTGGATTTTCAGATTAGATGCTCAACTGGTATGTATTTTGAAAATATTTCAAAATCCAAAACACTTCTGGACCAAAGTACTTTTATCCAATGCTTTTATCCAAAGATAAAAGTTACTCAACCTGTAGCTATATACTTATTTTTTAAATCTTCTATTTATGGCAAGTGATAAGTGTTTTTCCACTTACTATATGCATAGAAATACATATATTTAAGGGATAATTCACAGAAAAATAGAATAGTGCAGAGTACTTATAGCAGTGGCAAGAATCATGAAGAAGGCAAGCAAATACATGAGACTTTGGGAACCCTGAAATACGTAACATGATCAAAATGGCTTTCTATCAAAAATGTAAGTTTAGCTTCATATTAGAAAATCCATTAGTATGATTTACTATATTAACAGATTAAAGGAAAACAAATCATATGATCATCTCAATAGAAGATAGAAAAGCATTTATTAAAATTCAATAGTCATCTGATTTTAAATAAACTTAAAGAACTAGAAATAAAAGGAAGAATTCCTTAAATTGATAAAAGGTATCTTTAAGAAACCTATAGCAGATGTCCTTTTAAAAACAGAAACATACTAGGCAGGATTGCATTACATTAGAAATAAATATAAAGATGCATTCTACAAGTTTATTATTCAACACTGTTCTACAGGTCCAATCTAATTTAATAAGACAAGAAAAAGGAGGAAAAGGGTATAACTATTGGAAATAAAAAGATGACAGGCACTATTTGCATATGATGTGACTGTTTTACAGGTATGTGTGTGTTATAAACATATATAACAAATATTCAAGAAAATTAAAAAATTCAAACAACTAATAAAAGAATTCAATGAGGAAGCTAGCTACAGAAATAAATAGCATTCAAAAAAATGTAATAAAAAGACATCTTTCCCAAAAGCAACAAAAATATGTCCAAGGATTAAACTAATACACGATGTATTTAAAAATTATAAAATTGTATTGAAGGATTTAAAGAACATCTGAATAAATGGGGAATCCATGTTCCTGGATAAGAAGCCTTAAGATTATAAAGATGTCAATTATCGAGATAATATAACTGCTCTAGAAAGTAAATGCAATCCCAGTCTAAATCATAACACAGCATGTTTTATGGAATCGGAAAAGCTGATTCTAGAGTTCGTCCAGAAAAGAAAATATACTAAAAAGCCAGGGTAACCTGAAAGGCAAACCAAACACTTGTCCTACAAAATATCAAAAACATATTATAAAGCTAAAGTAGTTAAAAGTGTGGCCCTGACTCAATGATAGACAATAAATCAATAACACAAAACAGACCGTCCAGAAATACGCTAGAAGAAAAATTAATAGGTGGCATTTCAAGTCAAGGGAGAGAGGATGAAGAATTTAATAAGTGATATTGGGCCAACAGCCAGACATCTGAGAAACAACAAACATGAAATTGGAAATCTACCTCAAATTATATACAAAATTAATACTAAATAGATTAAAAAGCTAATTCTAATACTATAAGTTTTAAACATATGTTGTTGTTTCTACTTGCGTGAGTCTATTCCCTCTTCTTCTGATAACAGTACTCTAACTTCTCTTTAGTGAATACCTTTGCTTTCATTGTATGAAGTCTTCATAGACCTATCAATCAAGGTTCCCCCCTTCATCAGGCTAAGGGGGTGGAATTGGAGGGTGGTCACATAAAAGAAGTAAAGCCAGTGAGACTCTTCTGGGATTTGAATCTTGAAGGGAATGATGCAAGGAAAAAAAAGTTGAGTGAATTTACCCCAGATTTCCCAGATCCCTGAACAAGCTCTGTTTCTAGTCCATTTCCAAAGCCAGGGTTCTTGAGTTTTTCCTTTCTTTCAATGAGCTATCACCTCATACTCTTCCAATAAATTCTCTTTTGTGTTTAGGTTCGTGTCAGATAAGTTTCCATTGTTTGCAACTAAAAGAACTTGACACAAAACTCTTAACCAACCAGAACCTGGCACAGGATATTATTAAAATTTTTAAAAGATACAGCAAAAAAATACAATGAAGTGAAAGGACAAGCAACCATGAGAAAATATTAACAACATATATAAACACAGTATAATGCCAATATTATATTAAAAGCACCTACAAATAAACAAAAATAAGCAAATAACCCAATAACATGGTCAATATATGTGTATAGGTAATCAATATAAATGTCTAATACACAAACAAATGTTCAGCTTCATTGGCAAAAAACAAATACTAATTAAATAACCACGAGGTAACATTTTTCACTCAAGAGATTGAAAAAAATTAAGAAAAACCTAATATTAACAAAATGTAGGAAAGTGGTCACTTCATCAACTATTGGCCAAATGTAAGTTAATGCTAATTTCTCAAGGGACTACTTGGTATAATACCCATCAAAATTTTAAACTGGCATTTGCTTTCTTTCAGTAGTTCCACTTCTAGAAATTTATCCTTTGGAACAACATATGTTCACAAGAACATAAATACAAATACTACATGTAATAACAAAAATTGGAAATAATATAAATGTTGAAAAGAAAATTGATTAAGTAAATTATAGCATATTCTTGGTAACAAAAATGTTGGTGTAGTTAAGAACAAGGTAGATCTACATACATTAACATGGAACAATTTCCAATATATATAGTTAAGTGGCAAATGTCAGCAGCACAACAATATGTTTGATATACTGCTAATGTTAAAACTAGTCTATTAAAAGATAAAGATATAAACTACATATATTAAGAAAATAAGGCTGGGCACGTGGCTCATGCCTATAATCCCAGCACTTTGGGAGGCCAAGGCAGGCAGATTACTTGAGCCCAGGAGTTCGAGACCAACATAGGCAACATAGCAAAACAGCATCTCTAGAAAAAAAAAAACTACAAAATACAAAAATTAGCCAGGCATGGTGGTGTGCACCTGTGGTCCCAGCTACTCGGGAGGCTAAGGTGACAGGATAGCTTGAGTCCGGAAGGTCAAGGCTACAGTGAGCCGTGTATAGTGCCATTTCACACCAGCCTGGGCAACAGAGAAAGACCCTGTCTCAAAAAAAAAAAAGGAAAGAAAGAAAAGAGAAAAGAAAATACATTTGTAATAAAGGTAAAGGTACAATAAAGGATCTACCAAGACATACACCAAATCATTAAAAGTGATTTTTGGCTGGGCACAGTGGCTCACGCCTATAATGCCAACAGTTTGGGAGGCCCAGGTGGGCAGATCACCTGAGGTTAGGAGTTTGAGACCAGCCTGGCCAACATGGTGAAACCCTGTCTCTACTAAAAATATCAAAAAATTAGCCGTGCATGGTGGTGTGTAGCTGTAATCCCAGCTACTTGTGAGGCTGACGCAGGAAAATTGCTTGAACCTGGAAGGCAGAGGCTGCAGTGAGCTGAGATCACGACACTGCACTCCAGCCTTGGTGACAGAGCAAGACTCTGTCACAAAAAAAAAAAAAAAAAAAAAAAAGTGATTTTTACCTCCAGTAAGAATACAATCAGTACAATCAGCAGGGTACCAGTAAGAATACAATCAGTACAATCAGCTGGGTACCAGTAATAGTATAATCAGCAGGGTACAAAGACTTTCTTGCCTTATTATTTATTCTCTATACTTCTTTTACTTCATGTGTTTATGTCTTACATGTATAATACATTTTATTAAAGAAAGTAAGGTGTGAATACACCAAACAAAAGAATCCCTGACAGGTAAAACCCCTCCAAATTAAAAATTGTAAATAATACTTCAAATTTTTAAGCTTTTCCATGAAAATATCATAAAATACTTTATTATTCAGATGTGAAATTAAATAAACTATAACAACTTTTTTTTGGTAAAAAACTAAGAAATATCTGGCTCAACTGGCATTTAATACAATTATATATTTTTATATAAAATTCTGTAACAAAATTTAATAAAAGTATTTAATCCAAAGAGACTTAAGCAAGTTTCCACTACACAGACATGTTATTCATTAAATTTATTCATTAAATTCATTAACTCAAGGTCTCTTAACATCAACTGTCAATACTTTAAATCAAGAAATTTTCATTCATAGGAAAAACTATAAAACACCAGCAAAAACTCTCCTGTGTAGGCTCACTGAAGTGTCTTTAGGCAGGCTAGATTGCTGATTAGATTCTACAAAATTAGAAACCCATTCTTTAATTTATTTCCAATTCCAATAATTTAAAATCACACACTAATTTGAACGTCTTGGCATCTTTTTCAAAACATGAAAGCCTTATTCTACAAATCTAAAAATCCAAAGCCATTTAAAAATAAATGTATGAAAAACTACCAAAATTAATCTGATTTTTGATAGATAAATTTTCCTAATAATAAAACGTAAGATATATATACCTGGGAAAAAAATTTGAATGTCTCAGCTGGTGGTTACTAAATTAATTGGTTTCTAATTTTTCAGATAGTAAATATATGCCTCAAAAGAAAGCAAACTATAATAATTATATTTAGTAATTATTAATATAATTAAGAAACAAATGCATTAAAGTATAAACTATACCTGATGTAGAGAAATTTTAGAAAAACATTCAAAGTGTATTTATTTCCTGTAGCTGTCTTTCAACTAAATAAATGATAGAAAAGAAAAACATACTCAACCTTTCTGTTTTGGATTTGTTGTCAATTTTGTACTGTTCAAGTTCTTGGCTAAGAGAATGCAGCTTTTCTTGAAGTCTCTTTTCACGATCTACACTTCCTTGATAAAATTTCATCTCTTTTTCCATTGCTTTCACTTTTTCTTCCATAGCCTTAAATTCATGAAGAATTAGATAGCTGACTCCACAGTACTTACAAACTTTTTCTTCAGGCAACATCTAGGAAACAGAACATACACTTACCAAATTTTTTTAATTCTGAAAAAACAAGTTCAACTGAAGATATTGTAGCCATGCTGGTTGAATGAAGTAAATACATAGTATACTATGCCTTGGAGCAATAATTACGACATTGCTAACACTTGTATAAAAAATTTTAAACTGGCATATTGAGTCTGACACAAAATCTTGGGATTAGAAAAAGATCTTTCAGAGCAATTGTTTCTCCATGGTATCTCTAAGAAAAATTTACTCTTGAAATATTTTCCATAAAATAAAACCAAAAATAGTGAAAAATTTATAATCTTTATAATTCCGGTTTTAAGATGAATTTTCCACGAAGTGGGAGGAAATCACTGTTCTTTAATTGCAAACTGCTCTGTTCTCCTGGCTTTTTCAGATCTTATTTTCCTCATCTGTAAAATTATGACATTTCACCAAATGAATTCTGTTTCTGTTCAGTTTCAGCATTTTATGATTTTTACAGAAATTTAACATTCTGTCATAAATCTACAAATAGGAAAAATACTTTGAACCTAATCTCTTCTCCCCAAATCAGTTCTTAGTAGGTACGGTTATACCCATTTTACAGACTTTTTTTAAAAAACTGAGACTACTGAAGTTAAATAACCAGCTGATATGCGGAGAAGCTGGGATTAAAACTCAGGTCTATTTAAAACCAGCACCTGTGCCTTTAACCATCTGTATTATATTTATCTATCACATGTATATTGGATAGATCCTCTTCCTTCCTTCAGATAAAGTGTTGTGTGACTTTTGGCCAGCATAGGGCCAGTGAAAAATGAAATTTTAGCCAAGTCAGAAGGGAGATAGTTCTTTTTTCTGTTTCAGGTATAAATATTTCTCAGTAGCCTCTGCTTGTTTTCCTATTCATAAAGGATAAGAGATGGCTTCATAAAATGCTTGCTCCAGGGCACTAAATTTGAAATTAACTCTTGGATTATCCAAGATTTACTCTTAAAGTAACCTCCCTTGAAACTATAGAAACTGTTGCTGTAACTAATAGTAATGCCACCATATCTGCCTACCAATGTCATTACACAAATGTCAACTGGAAGAAAAAAAAACACATTTTTATAAAGTAAAATTTGGCTCCTTTAAACTTTAATAGTAAAAATTTTAAATTAAAAACCATAATACAGTATTATGGGATATAGATTAATGATTATATCAACTACTTGCCACTATATAAAATGTATAGATTTATAAAAGTAATCATAAAGATAATCTGGTTCAAGCTCTAGATGGATTCAATTCCATTAATCTACTTCAACTTAAATATGTTGTTGCCTATCCTTTATTTTAACATCCCAAATGATGGGAAACTACTTTTTAAAGCATTCTGTTCCATCTTCTGCCAGTTGTGTCTCTCAGGAAATCCTTTCTTAGGCTCATCACAAATCCGCCTCCCTGAAGTGTGCACCAGTTCCAGTCCTCTTAGAAACCATGTGGGACATCCCCAGGCCCCTTTCACATGAAGGTCTTTCTAATATTTGAAGACAGCTATCAGGAACACTCCATGTCTTCTCTTCTCTAGGTCAACACTTACAATTTCTTCAGCTGAATTTCTTCCTCATTCTAGATTTCTCTAAATTTTTTCCAGTGTTCTACATGTGTTTCAAAGTATGGTGCCCAGATGCAATAGTTTAGTGTGGCTGGTCTCACTAAAACAGAATGAGAGAAGACTCAAACTTCTCTCATTCTAATATCTCATTACTAATATCATTGTAATACGTTCTAATGCAACCTTAGATCTGATTGGTCTTTAATATTTTTAGCAATTATATTTTGCTTTTATATACTATAACTGGCTTTATGTTAAATAAAACCCCTGATTTTAAAAATACTGCAGTGCAAACCAACGTCTCATTATACTGAATATACCAATTATTTCCTTTCTATCTATGTTTCCATTTTAGAGAATCCATAGCAGCCCTGGCTGCTATGTTTGGCAATGTGACTAAGACTCCCTCCACCTATCTACCCTAGCCATGGCTGACTGGTGAACCAGGATTGGACATCAGACCCAGAAGAACCAAGCCCAAGCTGGTATGAGCCAACTGGGCCTGTAATTGTTGAAGATTCAGGCACTTAGGTCACCTTTGGCACAGCCATAAGACAGAAAATGTCATGCACAAGATACAAAGTAACTAACATAACTAAAATTCTGAGACATGAATGAGTAGACACAGAGACAGAAGCTGAGATGAGGACACTGTAGCTCCAGAAAGAGAGAGAAAATAAGGAACCAGCCACTGTCTTATACCCCAAACTCTTCCAGTTCCTCACTTCAGACCCTCTTGAGTTGTGGCTTCCCTACTTGCCATTTGGAATTCATGCCCAATCTTCCTCTACTATTTTCTCTTTTCTCCCTTAAGCTCCATATTCCTTGCGACCAATACTTTCCATTCTATTATGTGAGCATTTGGCTTTTCAGATCCAAGTACAGAACTACAGATGTAAATGTAAATATATACAAATATATAAAATATATAAAAATATATATCTTATATTATCTTAGACTCACATATATTTGAGTATATAACATAGATATTTGCATTTCTCTGATGGCCAGTGATGATGAGCATTTTTTCACGTGTTTTTTTGGCTGCATAAATGTCTTCTTTTGAGAAGCATCTGTTCATATCCTTCGCCCACTTTTTGATGGGATTGTTTGTTTTTTTCTTGTAAATTTGTCTGAGTTCATTGTAGATTCTGGATATTAGCCCTTTGTCAGATGAGTAGGTTGCAAAAATTTTCTCCCATTGTGTAGGTTGCCTGTTCACTCTGATGGTGGTTTCTTTTGCTGTGCAGAAGATCTTTAGTTTAATTAGATCCCATTTGTCAATTTTGTCTTTTGTTGCCATTGCTTTTGGTGTTTTAGACATGAAGTCCTTGCCCATGCCTATGTCCTGAATGGTATTGCCTAGGTTTTCTTCTAGGGTTTTTATGGTTTTAGGTCTAACATGTAAGTCTTTAATCCATCTTGAATTAATTTTTGTATAAGGTGCAAGGAAGGGATCCAGTTTCAGCTTTCTACATATGGCTGGCCAGTTTTCCCAGCATCATTTATTAAATAGGGAATCCTTTCCCCATTTCTTGTTTTTGTCAGGTTTGTCAAAGATCAGATAGTTGTAGATATGTGGCATTATTTCTGAGGGCTCTGTTCTGTTCCACTGGTCTATATCTCTGTTTTGGTACCAGTACCATGCTGTTTTGGTTACTGTAGCCTTGTAGTATAGTTTGAAGTCAGGTAGCGTGATGCCTCCAGCTTTGTTCTTTTGGCTTAGGGTTGACTTGGCAATGTGGGCTCTTTTTTGGTTCCATATGAACTTTAAAGTAGTTTTTTCCAATTCTGTGAAGAAAGTCATTAGTAGCTTGATGGGGATGGCATTGAATCTATAAATTACCTTGGGCAATATGGCCATTTTCATGATATTGATTCTTCCTACCCATGAGCATGAAATGTTCTTCCATTTGTTTCTATCCTCTTTTATTTCATTGAGAAGTGATTTGTAGTTCTCCTTGAAGAGGTCCTTCACATCCCTTGTAAGTTGGATTCCTAGGTATTTTATTCTCTTTGAAGCAATTGTGAATGGGAGTTCACTCATGATTTGGCTCTCTGTTTGTCTGTTATTGGTGTATAAGAATGCTTGTGATTTTTGCACATTGATTTTGTATCCTGAGACTTTGCTGAAGTTGCTTATCAGGTTAAGGAGATTTTGGGCTGAGACAATGGGGTTTTCTAGATATACAATCATGTCATCTGCAAACAGGGACAATTTGACTTCCTCTTTTCCTAACTGAATGCACATGTACCCTAAAACTTAAAGTATAATAATAAAAAATGAATAAAATAACATAGATATATATGTCTTAGACATAGTTATTGCCTTTGGTTATTACCTTAGTTACTGCCACTGGTATCCAGGAAATTCTAAGCTTTATGTCTTTTGCAAAGTTGATCCTTATAAGTCATTTTATGTATCTCACTCTCTGATTTTAAAATGCTGAATTGACTAAGTTGAGGACAGAACTCCACAGCATGTCATATCACATTGGTTGATACTGTTCTATTATTCAGCATATTTCAGGTACAACTCTTAATCTGATCATTAAATTATCCAATTATCTTTGTTACCAGCCTATATTTATTTTATACTGTCTTCAGGAATATTATGACAAACTTTGTCAAATGTTTTCATAAAGTCCATATATTCTATGCCTAATATGGTTCCTGGATCTAGTAATCCTACATAAAATGAAATGGCAAAGCCTACATGCTTGCTCTCAGTGAACATAAAATTGGCCCAAGGGTTATGTTTTGTCTAATATATCCTCACAAATCACCCTTTCATAATATATTCTAAATCTTGTCTAGGATTGAAATTAAGTTCATTGGTTGTAATTTATGGGCACTGTATACATGAAATGGCATTTGTGCATTATCCTATTACTCTCTGCATGTCTTCAGACATAACCAAGAGTGGCTCTGCAATCCTATGCAAAGACACTATCAGCCCTCAGAAATATAATTCATCCATGTCAATAAATCTGAACTAATTAGGAACAGATGGATATTTTCTTAAAATTTTTGCCCATCTTGCATTTTAGTTTCTTCTTCTCAATTTGAAAATTGTTGCTTACTGTAAGTCACTTTCATCATTAATCCTTGCCTATTAATTGCAGTTCTTGCCCTGCTCCTGGCAAAGTGTCCTATCTTTATTCTAAAGAAAACTCTTGATGGGTGGAGTAGATTTGCAGCCTGATGAATAAAACAGAAATGCTATAAACTTCACATTGTGAAAGCTATTAGAATGTTATTTCATCATAGCAGTCAAGGGAGAAAAGGCTGAAATGTATTTTATGTGAAGCAATACATTTTAGAGAATAGGTTTTCTAGAAGTTCAGCAAGGAAAGAGAAAACATGATATTCATTATGATGTAGAAAACAAGACAATGTGATTTTAAAATAATAGGTCCACAAGAGTGGTCTTCTGACTTTACCTGAATCATTAAGTAAGCAATGTTAAATAAATACATTGCACAAAAGTTTTCAATGCTATTAAATTGTAAATAATGTTCTGTAACCAAAACTGCTATAGAAAAAAATGTAATAACCCTTTCAAATTATTAGTGCCTATATGAGCTAATTACTTAGGGCATTTTTGTGAAACTTGAGAAGATATGAAATACTGTAATTATGTTCCCAAATGAAGTAAGTTATCTGCTTTTTGTGAAATATAATTTGTGCTTCATTCTTATAACTTGGTATTATATCATCCTCTCGTTTTGAAAGTAAAATAATGACATGCTGTCATTCTTGACAAAAGGCCTATCATTAACAGGATGTTCTGGTGTTCTACAAGATGCACTTTGGAGGAGACATTAACAAATGCAATATATTAAACAAATGTAGAACCATTTGAAAATAAACTATGAAACAAACTTCTCAAATGCAGTGTTCATACTTTTAAAATTATAGTTATTTAATATAAAAATAATGTAAATGTTTTAAAAAGGTTAAATTAGGCTTCAGATCCTTTCCAGAGTTCCTGTCTGTGCTTCAACTAGGAAAACTACTTAGTACCTTCCTGCTGCCCAACTGTGGCATTCTCTATTTCAAAATTGTGCCTCTTGGCCAAGCATGGTAGCTTACACCTGTGATCCCAGCGCTTTGGGAGGCCGAGGTAGGTGGATTGCTTGAGCCCAGGATGAGCCTGGACAACACGGTGAGACCTTATTTCTACAAAAAATTTTTTAAAAATTAGCCAGGCGTGGTGGTGTGCGCCTGCAGTCCCAGCTACTTGGGAGGCTGAGGTGGGAGGGTTGCTTGAGCCCAGGAGGCAGAGGCTGCAGTGAGCTGAGATGGTGCTGCTGCACTCCAGCCTGGGCAACAGAGCAAGACCTTGTTTCAAATAAATAAATACATACATACATACATACATATAATTGTGCCTCCTTCTCCCACCCATATGATGCTTTTTGTGCTTAGACAAGGAGGAAATAAACTATTCTTTGTAGATAAGAGTGATAGCAGTATGAAATACTAATCCTTCTAAGAGGTTTTCCATTCAGTAAGATGCCCTTACTCAAAAACAATGAGTGTTTAGTAAATATCATTCAGATTAGGAGAAAGTTTTTGAGATAGGGCAATATATACTTCAAGCTCATTAGTCAAACAGACCACCTGACTACTTCATAAAGCCATTAGGACCCTTCCTCATCATTAAGTTAACCTGCTTATTTACAAATTTAAAAATCAATTTAGTAAAGGGCACTTACAAAAAAAAAAACCCTACAGCTTTATTATAATTAGTAGTAAAAGACTCAGTGTTTTTCCCCCTAAGGTTGGGAAAATGGCAAGGATATCCACCCTCACTGCACTTATTCAATATAGTGCTAGAATATCTAGCCAGAGCAACAATGCAAGAAGGGGAAATAAAAGGCATACATATTAGAAGGAAAAAATAAAACTCTCCTTAATTGAGATGGCATAATTATCTACATAGAAAATCCCAAGAAATCGACAATAAAACTAGAACTAGTAAGTTCAGCAAGGTTGCATGTTTCAAGATACAAACAGAACAATCAACTGCATTTATATATATACCCAGTGAGCACCTGAACACTGAAATTGAAAATACAATACATACATATATATATATTTACAACTGCTCCAAAAAATTAAATACTCAGGTGTAGATATAACAAAATATGTACAAGATTCGTATGCTGAAAACTACAAAATGCTGATGAAATATATTGAAGATCTAAATAAACGGAGAGAGATACTATGTTTATGTTTGGAAGACTCAAAATAGTAAAGATATCAATTCTCCCTAAATTGGTATAATCCAATTTCTATCAAAATCTCAGCAAGATATTTTATATATAGAAAGAGTTATTCTCAAATTTGTATGTAAAGCCAAAGGAATTAGAATAGCTAAAATAATGCTGAAAAAGAAGAATAAAGTGGGGGGAATCACTACCTGATTTCAAGACACACTGTATTGCTATAGTAATCAAGATTGTATGATATTGGCAGAAGGAAGGACACATAGATCAATGGAACAGAACAGAAAACGACCTCCATAAATATGCCAAACTGATTTTTGACAAAGGTACAAAAGCAGTTCAATGAAAGAAAGATAGCCTTTTCAACAAATGGTGCTGGTACAATTGGATATCCATACATTTTTTTTTTTAAAAAAGGAACCTCAACCTAAACCTCACATATTCTACAAGTAGGGACAAAAATATAAAATATAAAAGTAGAAAATATTAGAAGAAATATTTTTAGGAAAATAATAGGAGAAAATCTTCAGGATCTAAACTGGAAAAGACCTCATATTTAATACCAAAAGCATGATTCATAAATGGAAAATCTGATAACCTGAATTTCATCAAATTTAAAAACTTCTGATCTGTAAAAGACCTTGCAAAGAGGATTAAAAGACAAGCTACAGACCAGGAGAAAATATTTGAAAACCACGTATCTTACTAGTACCTAGATTATATAAAGAATTTCCAAAATTCAGCAGAAAAAAAAAGTCTAATTAGAAAATGAACAAAAAGACTTGAAGAGACCTTTCACATAAGAGGATATTCAGATGCCAAATAAGCACATGAAAAGATATTCAACATCATTTCATTAGCCATTAGGAAAATGCAAATTAAAACCACAATGAGATATCACTCACTACACATCACTGACAACATCAAATGCTGGTAAAGATGTGGAGAAACTGGATCACTCATATACTGCAGGTAAAAAATGTAAAATGGTATACCCACTCTGGAAAACAGTTTAGTAGTGTCTTTAAAAAAAAAAAAAAAACCTGTAGTTACTATATAACATAGCAATTGAACTCTTGGCCATTTATCCCAGGAAAATGAAAATGTATGTTCACATAAATGAATGTTTATAGCAGCTTTATATGTAAAGCAGCTGAAAAGTGGAAAAAAACCTAGATTCCCTTCAATGAGTAGGTAAATGGTTAAACAAACTGGTACATTCATACCATGGAATACTACTCAGCAATAAAAAGGAATAAACTATTGATACACACAACCTAATGAAACTCCAGAAAATTACAGATTGAAAAAAGCTAATCCCAAAATATTACACACTACATGATTCCATTTATATAACATTCCTGACATAAAATTATTGGAGACCAGACCAATGGTTGCCAGGGCCATGGACTGGGAGTAGGGAAGAGATTGGGGAAGTTAAGGTGAATGTGGTGATAAAAGGACAACATGAAAAATCCTTGTTGTGATGAAAGTGTTCTGTATCTTGACTGTATCAATTGTCAATATCCTGGTTATGACACTGTACTTTAGTTTTGCCAGATGTTACCACTGCAGGAAGCTAGATGACGAATAAGTGGGATTTCTTGGTGTTATTTCTTACCTTGCATGTGAATCTACAATTATCTCAAAATAAGAAGTTTAATTTTAAAATAATAAAAATAGAAAAAAATCAATCTGGGACTAAAATACCAGAGATTCATCCATAAAGACATGTTATTGAGCAATATCAGAAATGTTGGCTTTACCCTATGTAAATTATAAATGATATGCCTATGTCTATCTATATATACTTCCAAAGTATATTTCCTCCAATACCTATTTTTCCACTGGGAATCCTCACCTTAGTAAACTCAATGACCTTCTATGGTCAGTTGGCAAAAGTATTTTTGACTACAAATTGGCAAATTCAGATTTTTCAAGATTCATAATAATATTTTGAAGAAAATGCTTTTTCTAATGAACTACCTTGGGTCACAAAAATAAGTGAATAGTCTCTCCAAAAATTATACAGCTTCCTATTCCCTTTGTCATAAGGTTTTAATAAAACTACAATTGCTTAAAAACACATCACACATAAACGTCCACACACACACACACACACATCACAACTTTCCCAGGATGCTAGGTCTAACATTTGTATGACCACTTTCTTTTTCCTTTTCTTCCACTTCAACTCAACAAAAAATCTGAACCTAGCCACAGTGGCCCAAAATAACCTGGAAATTAAGTTTATTTTTTCTGGCAATGACCATCTGTGCTTGGAAATATAAAACTGTTATTCTGG
Source organism: Homo sapiens (assembly GCF_000001405.40). Classification (NCBI taxonomy): domain Eukaryota; kingdom Metazoa; phylum Chordata; class Mammalia; order Primates; family Hominidae; genus Homo; species Homo sapiens. Next base: position 156,843,643 of record NC_000003.12, on the reverse strand, counting down.
ATAAATTTCAAAGTTCCAAAGTACTAAAATTACTTTACTGAAACAGGACAAAATGAGCTGTTACTGCTGGGGAAAGGGATTGTTATCCCTGAGAGAACAGTGCGCTCTCTAGCCCTTGTATCGCTACTTCTGTTTTGCAAAATAAACAACTCTGGTCTCTTTTTTTTTACTTTTGTGTCCTGTGGTAATAAAGATTTCCTGAAGTTAAAATCCTATTACAAGTGTTCATTTTGTCACCATTTTAAAAAAACAAAAGATCAGTTCCACTTTCTGCAAACTAACTGATTTTTCCACTAGTTTGTTGCTGTTGTTTTGATTTCCACATATGTCCCCAAGCAAAAACAGCAAAAGGAAAATTATTCATTGCTCTTTTCTAAAAAGAGGAGTCCATATGTCTCTAAAATGGATTGACATTCATGAGGGGAAGAGATATACAATTACAGTATTACTTTGCTGATCTGTAAGTGTTGTTTTAGTCTTAAATTGTGGCAATAAAATCCTAAACCCAGAACAGTACTATAATTTCAAGTATATTCTGCTTTCAGAATACTTGATGAAAATGCTAGTAAGTCTGCTGGTTATCCGAGGTCAGGGACAGGTAGGAGTCAGCTCAGCCTGGAGAGAGAACAGATTTAGAGATATGATCTAAATACATACAGAATTAACCTGTAGAGTGCAGCAGTAGAAAAAGGAGCCAAATGTGATTTTGCTGTCTAGCCCATGGGCCGCTTTTACATTTTCTGCCACTTAAGAAGATGGAAGTCTGACAAGTATACTATGCTCAGTCAGAAACTGTGATAAAAAAGGAAAAAGACCTGGACATGAGAGTCAAAGATTATCTTATTCCTTCTTCCCTAAAATTCCCTGAGGAGATGAGACCAGGGGAAAATGCTTTAACAATCTTAGCCTTCTAATCAGGCAATGGATTCTCTAACTGTAGCTTTTTATCATCATAGTTCTTCTCTACACTTTTTCTTTGGTAGCCATCTCCCCTACCACCTTTACATTTTTTGTAACTCTCCTTTTTCTACTACTGCTCATTTTGGCATTAATAGTACAGTGTGGCATAGTCATTTTCAAATTCTAATTTACCAGCCATCTGTTTCCATATCACATAGCAAAAATACACAAAGAAATAAATAGGAAAGGCTCTCACCTTCTCTTCCCTGATTTCTACACTCACCTTCCTTGCCTACACACAGAAAAAAAAGGAAACAGCAGGGACTTCTCTAGAAAGAGAAGCCAGCATAAAAAGTAACATAAAAAGTTAACAGAACAAGAAAGAAAAAAAAAAGCCTTTGAAAGACCTGTCACTGCACACTGATCCACACATCTCAGGTCCTTTTTTCTTCAATAGAGAAATAGAGCCATTTCCAAGCTATTATGAAAAAAAGTCTTTGTTTCTTCACATTAAAATGAAATGGTTCTAATCTAAATGGCTCCTGTTACCACTATAAGCTATATATCTAATCAGCAGTCCCCAATTTTTTTGGCACCAGAGACTGATTTTGTGGAAGACAATTTTCCCATGGACTGGGGGGATGGGGATGATTTTGGGATGAAATTGTTCCACCTCGGATCATCAGGCATTAGTTAGATTCTCATAAGCAGCACACAACCTAGAACCCTTGCATGTGCAGTTCCTGCTCCTATGAGAATCTAATGCTGCTGCTGATCTGACAGGAGGCAGAGCTCAGACGGTAATGCTCACTGGCTTGCCACTCACCTCGGGCTGTGTGAGTGGTACTAGTCAGCGGCCAGGGGTTTGGGGACCCCGATCTCTCTCTCTAATATTATTCTGTATAGAATAACACACGCAGCTGATTAAATACACTGCCCAGTCACTAGGAAATTAAGTGAAATTACAGACAATCTAGATAAATCAAATATAGGTAAGAAGTTATGTAACACATTTATTCTAAAAGACGGTACTGTCATAGGCTTTGGGATGTATATACATATTCTGGCTACTTTAAAATCAAGCACCCCAAACAGGGACTGGCACATAATAGGCATAATAAATACTTGTTGTATAAATGCATCTAACTTAGGTCTGAAAAAGTGCAAAGCTGCACTTTATATGACCAAGTCTACGACTAGCACACTTGTCTAGGACCTTAGGCAGCTGAGCCTCTTTTGGTGTCCCCACTTCTCTGTACTGCCTGGATGGCTGCCTGCCATTCTTGCTTTAGACTCTTATCTGCAGATTTATGAAATGCTTGGTTTTAGTATTTTTTAAACAATTTACTTGTAAAGTATCTCAAACATGAGAGAAAACCCTCTATAACTCTCATAAAAACCTTATAAAAATAAATACATATTTTATATTTTCAAAACACTGAAGTTGTTAAACATTCTCTAACTTGGCCAGCTTTTCTCACCAGAAAGCTTCTGTTCCTTTGGCCTAGGATGCCTTACCCGCTGCCTGTGGAAATACTAGGCCTTCAAGAGGCAACTCCAGTTTCACCACCAGCATAAAGTTCCCCCTCTGGCCATCCCACCATGCAGGGATTCCTCTTTCTGCCTTCTTCATTCTCACAGCAGATACTATCTTACATGGCACTAAATCACACACTGTCTTCTAGAGCTATTTTTTATCATGTCATTGTACATCCTCTGCCTGAGAGGTGATTAGGGTCTGAAGTGCAGCTATTGATTCGTGTAGATTTTGTTTGCTTTGCTTTGTTTCTTTTATTTTCCACCATACCTAGGCTAGTACAAGAAAGGGACTTAGTTCAGGGCAAGAGGAAGGATATTTCATGTCTTCAAATATATATAAGCACCATTTCTCAGGTGAGTACAAGTATAGCTGAACCCTCTCTGTGCTTACTCTTTTACACCTAACTTAAAAGGTGAAGATAATTGAATGTAATGATTTAAAAGGTCTTTTATGGTAAATGTAAATGGACTTCTCTTCCTGTTCCTGCTGGGTTACAGTTTACATAAATCTGAAGGGCAGGCAGCAACAGTAAGCATCAAGTTAAATCGATGGCATGGTTAATGCTAACAGGCAGCCCAAAGGTACATGCACAATGGACAAAAGCATATCTGAGAGCTGACTGCAAATTTTAATCAAAATGTAACAGATTAGTTGTTAATTAAGAGTTAACTAGATTTACTGAAAAACCCGAAAGATTGATGATAAAGTTTGAGGTTATAACTCACAATTTAAGTCAATCTTTTTCAAAGAGATTTTTAAAAATATACTATTAACAATGTATGGATTGCAAGCTAAATATGGGGAAAATGCCTTGTCCTGGGTACAGATGTGAACTAACAGGGAAGAGAACAGCATAAAAACTAAAGAACTGCGTGTTAATTAGATTAAATGAGTTGATATATAGTTGACCTTTGAACAACATGGACATTAGGGGTGCGAACCTCCCCTCCACATAGTTGAAAATCCATGTACAACTTCTGACTCCCCAAAAACTTAACTACTAATAGCCTACTGTTGACAGGAAGCCTTGCTGATAATATAAACATTCAATTAATGCATATTTTATAAAGTAAGCTAGAGAAAAGAAAATGTTAAGAAAATCATCATAAGAAAGAGGAAATATATTTAATCTTCATTAAGTGGATCATCAAAAATGTCTTCATCCTCATGTTCACATTGAGCAGGCTGAGGAGGAAGAGGAAGAGGAGGGGTTGGTGTTGCTGTCTCAGGGATGACACAGGTGGAGAAAGTGGAAGGGGAGGCAAAAAAGACAGGCACGCTTGGAGTAACTTTGAGGAAATATGTCATAACTTCTGTCGAACTTTTTTGCTTTTTCATTTCTCTAAAAATGTTTCTATATAGTGCCAATCCTTCTTCCAACGTTTGCTTTAGTTTCAGCGCCCATATCATAGGAAGGTTCATGTTGTAAAAGAAGTGAGAAGCAGTCTCGAATAATTGAAACCCTTCTGCCATATTATCTAGCATCAATTTGTTTTCTAGCACTGCCTCTACTATGTCTTCTTTCTCATTGTCTGCACTGATTCAGAAAAAAAAATCATCTCCAAGTTGTCCTCTGCTAATTCCTCTTGTGTGATGTCTGTTAGCTCCTGAATTTCTCCAAGATTAGTATCTTGAAACCCTTCACCCTCTGACCTTTTTTGCCATATCCACAATCTCTTTTATAATTTCCTTTATTGGCTCCATTGTAAATCCTTTGAAGTCATGCACAACGTCTGGACAGTTTTCTCTAGAAGGAATTTCTTGTTCCAGGCCTGATGACTTTCACAGCTTTTTCTATAAGAATGATGGCATCTTCAATGGTGTAATCTTTCAAGGTTTTGGTAATGTTCTGTCAGGGTTCTCTTCCATAGCATTGACAGTCCTTTCCATAGACTACTGTTGAGGTACTTCCTGACTTCAGAGACAAAGCATTGATGGACTCAGTCTAGAAAAAGCAATCTCCTTGTCCAAGCCTTTGTGTTGTACAACCAAAAGACTAACACCTGATGTTTATCTTTTCCCATCAAGGCTAGAGATTAGCAGTTTTATAGATAAGGGCAGTCCTGATCATAAACCTGACTACATTTGCACAAAACAACAGATTTGGCCTATCCCTTCCTTCCTTAAATCCTGGTGCTCACGTCTCCTCCTTACTAATGCATTTTGTGTCCTTTTTTTTTCCAGAATAGGGCACTTTTGTTTGTGTTAAAAACCTGTTTAGGAGATTGATTTGAGTAATAACTCCATCTCCTCTGTGGCATGGCCATCCTCGTTTCCATTAAACTCTTTCTCTACTGCAATGGCTTGGTCTCAGTGGCTTGATTTCATCTGTGTGGGAGGAAGAACCCATCGGGCTATTATAAGTTTGGGGGTCTGTCTGGGATCTGCCTTTGTGGGTGCCTGCCTGCAGTTTGTCAGCCCCCCACCAGTATGTTGGAATTGGAGGTGAGCTCTGGCAGCTGCTTATTTCTCTGGAACTGAAGGCCATGTCTGGTGCTGTCCTTGCCCAGTGAGGCCCTGCTGACCCACAGTGCTTGGGCCTAATTGCAGTGGAGAAAGACATCCTTCCTAGAAAGACATCTTTAAACTGGTCTGCTGAGTATTCTAAGCACGGTCAGAACCTTCTTCCTTCTCCCAGTTGGTTTGGCTCCACTGGGGTTCTTGGTTCTGCTCCTTCAAGTGTCTTGGTTTGGCTCCTTTGGGGGTATTAGCTGGCTCTCCCAAAATAGTAGGAAGACTCTGGGTTTGGGGAGATGTCTCCCCAGTTAGAGAATAAGAGGTTAGTTCAGAAGAATTACTCCTGGAAATTTTTGGTTAGGAATCCTGGTTTGGAAGGCCTTTTTGTTTGTCTTTATCTCATTGTGCGTATTTGTATATATGGAGAGAATTCCCTGAAAGAATTGCTGATGAAAGCCCAGGAGACTGTACTAGTTTGTCTGGTTGGTCACATTCTGTGAGCCATGAACAAAGTTCAACAGGTCTAACTCAGGGTGACTATCCACTCTTCCATGTTGCTTAAAGATCACCTGTTGAAACTCCTGGTTGGAGAACACCCCACCCCACTTTGAGTGGATCAAAGACAACACGGGCCAACAGAGGCAAGTTTAAGCCTTGCCAGGTCAATACTTGGATGCTAAGCGGGGTGACTGGTGTCTGTGTTTTGTCATGTGTATTTTCCTCTGCCTGGAATAAAAAACGTCATTTTGGATCCCCCATGTAGCCTGGCTACATCTTGCAAAATGAGGTTTTTGACTATGATTCCATGAAACAGAAAGAGATGATTTTCTTTTGTAATGCAGCATGGCCCCCACAGCTATGGTACAGCAAGCAGCATCACCAAAGCTGCTGAGAGATAAGGAACCTGGAAAGCTAGCATGCCGGCAAAAGGGTAAGAATTTCCTACCAGCCAGGCTTCTGGCCCCTTTCTGCGCAAACTGATGGTAAAAATCACTGTCTCCTTTGCAAAGTCTGATTAATGGGAAAAAGGATTTGTGTGATTAGTCTGAGGCTGTAGCAAATCTAGTGCACTTTGTGCTATGAATATTCACATTGTTTCACTCCTTTCCTCTCAGTTTTTATCTTTATGTGTCTTCTGTCATGGAGAGGGGCACCGTAGGATAGAACAAGGGCCTAGGATCCCTATAAGCCCAATGCTCAAGCTGGCCCTGTGGGCTGGTCAGTTACAAACTTTGCTGCACGTCCCTGAAACAAAAACTGGACGAGATTTCCTTCTCATCTTGTTTTACGTCCTTGGGAGCTTGACTCTGTTGACCATGTGGAGGTACACTCTCAGTCTCCACCATCCAAAGGGCAGGAATTTTTCAGTTCATGTCAGTATGAGAGGACCGGGTGTCTGAGATGAGTCAGCACACTCTTCATCCCAAATGTGTCATGCCTTTGGGTGAGTCTTGTCTTAAAAGATCCCATTTCTACAGGGCTCTTGTCATCTTTTGTTATCTTAAGCCCATTACAGAGAGTGAATTCTTGGGGACGATGGAGATATCTCCTCTATCCCCTCTCTAAGAATACCTCTTGCTTATATGATAAAATCCTGGAACATTAACATCTGGGCTTGTAAAAGACTCAGATTAAGTCACTACTGAAACTGAGTATACCATTTTTTTTAAAAGGAATTTTAGAAATCTTTTATTCTCCATAATTAAAGTTTTTAAAAAGGATGAATAATGTCCTAACTAGCTTCAGAAAATTCTCTTGAGCAGTTACAATCCTTTACAAGCTTGAAAATGACTGCCCCAGACTCCTTCCTGGAAGACTAATGGCAGCTGCCCCATGCTGTAGCTCAGTAGCTAAGACTACCCTTTTATAGTAGCAGTCTGGGCTCAATTGCTGGCTTTGGGAATGAGTCCTTTCTGGTTGGATACTTGTGGGACTTTTGCCATTTATTGATTCTTTTCTTCTCCATGGACAGCTTCTGATTTCCTGTCTTGAATTTTCTTTTCTCTGAGCTACCTCAGGGGCTATTCTACATATTGTAAAAATGCTTGCTGTCTCTTTGGAGACACCTCATGCATCCATCGATAAGTCATAATCTTAGATAAGACTTACTGGTTTCACTTAGGAGGAGACCTTTGAGGGGGAAAAAAGCTTAAAAGCCAGAGGCTGTTTGTCCTGGCTAGAGTATAGTAATAAAAGATTTAAAAGGATTTCTTTAACGAAGCTCTATGGTTAAAAGTTGGCTTAACTAAAAGTTGATATTTACACTATACATATATTTTAAAGGTCTTTATGCCTTTTCTCTTCTTGGATCTTGTTTTTTTTGAGAAAAAGCTTTTTTTTTCTTCTTGGTTGGCTGAATTGTTTCTCCATTTACTTCTTTTTGCCAGCCTGGGATTCCTTAGGAGAAACAGAGGAGGTACCACGGGCCCCATTTAGGGAAAAACCTGTTTTCCTCATGAAACCCACAAAATTGTAAGTAAACAAATCCTTCTCAAAATTTATGACTCTGCTCTGTTTTGCATTACATTATCCGACCTTTTTAACTTTTGAGGATATCAGAAATTACTTTGCTTTGGCTGGGCTTGGTGGCTTAGGCCTGTAAAACCAGCACTTTGGGAAGCCAAGGTGGGTGGGGTCACCTGAGGTCAGGAGTTCAAGGCCAGTCTTGAACATGACGAAAGCCCCTCTCTACTAAAAATACAAAAATCAGCCAGGCATGGTGGTACATGCCTGTAATCCCAGCTACTCAGAAGGCTGAGGCACAAGAATTGCTTGAACCCAGGAGGCGAAGGTTGCAGTGAGTCGAGATTGCACCACTGCACTCCAGCCTTGGTGACAGAGTGAGACTCATCTCAAAAAAAAAAAAAAAAAAAAAAAAAAAAAGTGAGACAGAGCAAGACTTGGGGGGAGGGAGAGAGGGAGGGAGCGAGGAAGGAAGGAAGGAAGGAAGGGAGGAAGGAATCGCTTTATGAGAGAGGCTTTACGAGAGAACTTTTAGCCTTGGTGTGTAATAGCTAGGTAAGAGATATACTCTTAGGGATGGCTAATGGCAGATGCTTACAATTGAGTTACTACAGGGTGATACTTGGTTCTTTGCACACCGAATAAGAAAACCATGTTCTTGGGGACCCGGAAAGTATGGATTGGGGAATGGACTGATTACAGATTGAGCTGATTGGCTTTGGGTTGCCCAGTAGCCTCAGTGAAAAATGTCCTTGCAATGAGATACACCATAAAATCACTATCTCGTCCTATAGCGTTTCTCTTTTGGGGGACCCAGGATTAGGCGTAAAAACGGAGCCCTTGATTTTTGGGGATCTGTTCTATCTTACAGCTCTGCCTGTCAGGCCCTGGAAGCTGCACGCTTTCTTGGCCCTGTTCCTTGAAGGGCTCCACCCTGAAGCCACAAATCCAATTTAGAAATTTACATATTTAAGAAAACCCCCATTGGTAAGGGTGCCTGCCTGTGTATATTAGAAACTATTATCATACAATGTTTTGGCTTAATGTCTCAGCTCTGTGCTTTTAAAATATAAGTTCTCTATCCTGTTTCACCTAGGAGCTGTCCCTTTAGAAATGCAAATTTAGAGTTGCCTAGCTGACAATTGTTTAGGGCAGGGAATAGGTAATCAAGAAACTGATAGTCTAAAATAGGAAATAGAAACTTAAAAACTGGCAAACAAAAAAATCTTACAACTACCAGATCCATTTCCTTCCATGTAATTATATGTGTTGTGTGTGGGATGTTTACATAAAGAACTCTAATTAACTGGTTTAGGGAAGAATGAGCCCTAAAATAAAATATTTTGTCAGAAAAATAGAAAATTTAATGCCTTTTAGTGTAGATGACTTTAGAAATCTTTGTTAAGTATAGTTTTAAAGATTATTGGTAAAATAAAAACATCTTCAAAATTTAGACATTTGGTCTACAGTAGGCAGACTGAATTCTGTCTTTGCTATACGTTTTAAGGTTATAAACTACTTCTATGATATTTTTGAAAATTGACTTGTCTATTCTTCAGTCATTAGATTTTAGGTAAGATCTGGGGACATATGGAGTTAGCCCTGTCCTCTGACTAGGCTAGGAAGAGTCAGACACTGTCTAAAGCTCTGTTCTTGTCCTAGGCTCTGCAATCTGATACATGGTTAAAATTACTTACTTACCAGGTTCCTAACCAGAAATAAAAGTGACTAAGAGTTAACATATTAACATTGAGACTACTAGAGAAAGTTTATATACAAGTTATATAAAGGAAGTAGAATGTGTTTTTGTCTTGGAAATATGGCTTTTGTTCAAAGGAAAGTAATCACGTTGAGTTTGGAGATTTTTGAGGATTGTCCCAAAAAGATATGACAATACTGAAGGTTTAAGCAAGTTGTAAAAGATTTATAATACATTGATCTTGTAAAGGAAGCTCTGTGGGTGTGAGCAATGTAGCCAAAAGTTGAACGGGATTATTTAGTTTTTCTATAAATTAAAACATTAAAATAAAAAGCACACTGTTACAAGGCCAGAATCTGGACCCATGTGTCAGAATAATGGTTTTCTTAGAACATTGATCTGCTCTTTAATAAATTATAAAAAGTTATGGGGGTCTGCCCTGTAATAAATTATAAAAAGTTATGGGGGGATGTTTAGGAAAATCTTACCTTATGGTCAAACTGATTAAGACTGTATAGATTTGTTTATAAGGTTTTATTAAAAAATTGGGCCTAACATTAATAGTACATTAATAAAAAGGTAAAATTTGGTTTTCCTCTTTTGAACAAAGTTTTTTTGTAATACTGAGCCACAATGAAATGTTTTTGCCTTTTAAGTAAACTGCAAAAAAAAAAAAAGGAAAAAAGGGGAAAGAGAGATTCAGGTAGCCACATGCTACCTTTATTGGGTATGCTGTTTAGGTTTTTGCCTTTTGAAATTTTTGAGTTATCACTTCTGCTAAATGAATAACCAATGATACTATTTTATAACAGTAAGTATTCTAAACCTTTGATATTTGACAAACCTTCCAAAATCAAAATTTCAAGTTCTAAATTCAGTCCTTTTGATTTCATTAATTTTTTCAATATTAGGTCCCCTGAAGTCCAAAAGAGACATCTGGCTTATTTGGCATGTTGACATCATAGAGTGAGCACTGTCAAGTATGAATTGGTATTTGGCTTTCTTTGGGCTGTATTTATATGAAAGTGTTATTGGTATGTGTTCCAGAATTGTGCAAGATTCCTATAATTTCAATATGACTTAGTGTATGTTATCAGTAATAATAATTGTTATATTAAATTGTATGCCACAAAAATAACCAAATTTCCTTGTTAATTGAGTCTTAAACCATAGCTGTTTAAGCCTCTTGTCATCCACAGTTATTTTTACTTTGATCCTTTTCAAAAGGTGATTTTATAATCAGCTATGGAACTCTAACAGGTGCTCTTGAATGCAGATTTCTGATATCTTTAAAGATTGTGCCATTAATATAGAGGGAGAAACTTCTAGGACTCTCAGGAAGAGCTGAAGTGTTCATGAATATCAAACAGAACAGGAATTAACTGTATGGACTGAACTAAGAGAATAATGAAATAATCTTTCTATGACTATTTGTTTGAAATGTTTCTGATCCTTTTTGTTTTTCAGGGTCAAAACACATAACAACTTTCCTTTTGAGCTGTTTATAGCTTTTAACAATTGAATGAAGCATATTTCTATCTGCAAACTTTGGAGCATATTTCTTTCTCTCTACGTGATTTCTCCAGAATTTTGAAACTAATTATGAGTCTTCTTAGCATATGGCAATATAGTTTTTTGCATAAGTTCAATAAGAATGTTTTTTGTTTTGCTTTGTTTTTTGCAACAGGACACAACTGGAGACACTGATTATTTTACCAAGGCTTTGACTGGAAATGGCATGGTTTCAGGCTGCTTTGAGTAACTGAGGTTGACTTACAGAGCTGATAACAGCCCCTTGGAAATACTGGTCTCATACCTTGTCCTTTACAGGGCTCCTAACCCGTAGTAAATAAAGAATGTCACTTTCTGACAGACCCAGGAATCCCAAGTTATTGTGGGACCTCAAGAAGAGAGAAATTCACCCAATTCATACAGGTATGTGCAGGCACAGATGAATCCTTGGCTGGGCTAGAGACTTTTAAAAGGTCTAATCTGAGATTCCTTATGAAATAAATTCCAGCAAAGCCAATTATTTTTAGAAAAAGAACCTATTTGGCAAATAACTATTCTTGCTGCATTTTATGCAAATAACCAGGCCAAATATAATGGGACTGGAACTTATTTTGCAAATAAATTGGTCCTACTATGATTTGTGTTTGGTAGAAATGGGGAACTGGAGAGAGAAAAATTGTTTCAGAAAAAAACTATAGTACAACTGTTATTAGATTCCAGCCTTATCCACTATGTTTGAGTCTCTGCTAATGACCCCATATCTGATTGATTCTTGGGGTCATTCACCTGTATCCCTTAAGGCTTCAGGTCAGTTCTACAGGGATTCCTGAAGTGAGGACTTTCTCTCCTTATGTTGGGGCTCATTATTTGTCTTATAGTCCACCTGTTCACTTAAGTGCTGTGTGAAAGCTGTGGATAAGAGCACCAATGTTTTCTTATGCAGACCTTGGGATCTCAACCTGGCACACATGAATACATACCAACAATTACAAGACAGTTTCACTCCTCTTACCCTGAGGGCAACTCCCACTCCAAATCTGCCCCTGTGAGCAGGAAGAAGTTACAGTGGCTGTAGGCCTTTTTCCATTTCCATAACACACAGATTAAAAATAAGGTATGATGAAACCCAAAGGAGGGGGATTAAAACTGTCTTTGCAAAAATTGTAACAGTGAGAAAATTCTGACCTAACCAAATTCAGTCTTGCCTTTAACCTCCAAACTGCCCTTGGTCATTTGATATGGTTTGGCTGTGCCCCCACCCAAATCTCATCTTGAATTGTAGCTCTCACAATTCCCACATCGTGAGGGGGACCTGGTGGGAGATAATTGAATCATGAGGGTGAACCTTTATCATGCTCTTCTCATGATAGTGAATAAGTCTCACAAGATCTGATGGTTTTATAAAGAGGAGCGCCCCTGCACAAGTTCTGTGTTGCCTGCCATCATGTAAGACATCCCTTGTTCTTCAGCCATGATTGTGAGGCCTCCCCAGCCATGTGGAACTGTGAGCCAATTAAACCTCTTTCCTTTATAAATTACCCAGTCTCAGGTATGTCTTTATTAACAGCATGAGAACAAACTAATACACAATTTCTGGGTATGGGCCAATCTAACTTTGGGAGAACTTTATAGTTTAAATAATATCCCTTAAACTAAGCCATCTTTGTAAAACTAATAAAAGCCAAAAGGTTAAGAGAATTAGAGGGGTCTGCATTCTGCTAATATGTAGGTGTAAATGACTAGGAGCCATTATTCCAATGGATTTGCAACTTCCCTAATTATTCCTGTAATTAACATCACTATTGTAGAACCTACAATTGGCCTTTTGAGATGTTTTTTCAGGCTTTTGTATTTCTAATGACTGATGCCCCACTTGGACTCTCCGTCTTCACACATGGACCATTTTCTACACCCCTATGACTGCATCCCCAATCAATCAGCAGCTCCCATACCCTAGCCCCACCGCCTGCCAAACTATCCTTGAAAATCCCTACCCTGCAAATTTTCGGAGATTGATTTGAGTAATAACTCCATCTGCCACATGCCACAGTGGCCTCATATCAATTAAACTTTCTTTACTGCAAAAAAACAAAACAAACAAATACAAAAACAATAAAAAAGAAACCAAAAACCCCCTTTCTTCTTAATGATTTTCTTAATGACATCTGGGAACTTGTCTGCTGCATCTTGGTCAGCAAAAGATGTTTCCCCTGTTATCTTGACTTTTTCTTTTTTATGCCAAACCTCTTTCAAAAATTACCAAACCATCCTTTGCTGGCATTAAATTATCCAGCTTTAGATCTTTCACCTTTTAAGTTGCCATATAATGATTTTTTTTTCTCTCCGAGACTTTTCACCACTCTCTGCTCACTCTGTGGAATGACTTTGTTTTTTCTTGAATCATATTAGAGTCTACAGGTATGCCTTTCTTATAACAATTCTGCACCCACATAAAAACTATGCTTTCATTATAAGAGATTTTGCAAAAAGTACATGGTTTTTGCACCTGTTGGCATAGCTGTAGCTACAACATCATAAATTTCCTTTATATATACATATCTAATGGTCCTTACACTGGATTCATTTATCTTGAAATAGTGGGCAACCACAGCTGCACACCACATTCTACAGTACACATCAAGCAATTCAACTTTTTCTTTGTAATGTCATGACTTTTCTCTGCTTCTTGAAAGTACTTCCAGCATCAGGTAGTGGCATGCTAAATGTGTCCTTTGTTGTTATCCAAAGCTTATGAAATTGCACTAAACATGATGAAAAATACACAAGAACTTCAAGATCACTTTTTCCTGAAGGGAAGAACTGCTCACATGGCCATGATTATCACACAGTGTTTTAAGGAGATAATCACAATGCCTGAGCTCACTGCAAAAGCAACAGGAGGTAGCTACAAAATTATTACATTTGTATAGTATATATTACAGTTAATTTTACGTAGTTACAATTTAATACTTCTTCGTTATGTTTTTTTACATCTCTTGACTGCAAATAGCACCACGTAGTTTCTTAAGTGTCTGTGTGCATAAGTTTTGATAAATTTTACCTTTTTATAATAGATTTGTGCATATTTTATGGTAGTAAATGACAAAATAGACTAGTGTCTACATACATTTTATGCATTCATGACATGCCTTTTTCTTAATTTTTTCAATATTTCTAGGCTACTTGGTTCGCCTGTGAGTTTTTTCAAACCATTCCAAATCTTCAAAACATTTTCCAATATATTTATTTTAAAAACCCACATATAAGTGGACCTACACAATTTAGTTCCATGTTGTTCAAGGGTCATCTGCATAAAAGGGGCTTAAAACAGTGCTTGGCACACAGTAAGTACTGAGAATTAATGTTGGTCAAACCATAATAGAGGCTTAGAAATCCAGCCCCATTAAAACACACATGGACGTTTCTGATGCCTGCTTTTCACTAGGGCTCCACAACCACCTGGTCAAATACTGTACTGGAATTAGATATATGTCTTCTTCCATAGCAGCAAAATTCTTCATACTGAATTGAATTCTACAATTCTGCTCATTATGATAATAATTATTCCCTCTCCCACTCCACCAATTCATTCAGATCCTATGACCAAAATTAATGAATTCACTCCTCTAGGTTTTAGAATTATGTAACTGCTACATGTTCCCACTGTTAGGCTGTAGCAACACAATATATCATACCTTTTGGATTTCTTCAGGCAACGCATGCATGGGAATGTGATGATCCATAACTTCCCAAAATATGGTGAGAGAGCTTTGAAGCCAAAGGAAATCTAAGAACATTGATGGCAACAGTCAGAACAGAAATAATGTAGAGAACATTCAAATTAAGATGCTTTATAAACTCCTAGAAGTATTTGGGGATGAATGGTGATAACTGTTTCAACAGATGCTTATTTCATCAGCTCAATGTTAGAAGGTACAGTTAGGGTTTTCTCCGTTAGTTATTGGGCCAATAGAACAGGAGAGAACTATAGAGACTGCTAAGTTAGAAAGAATATTTTCTCTTTTGTTAGAACTTTATAGTCTAATAATTTCTGTTGTGATTTACTACTAATTGTTTTTCAAATACATAATGACTAAAATTTTAAATACACATTTCAGTGTATTTTAAAAATCAAATATTTTTCTGAAATGCTGCTAGAAAAAGTATGAAAATATAGTATTTTAGCAGATGAAAAAAGCAATTGTGGCATGAATGCTGGATTAAATGATGAAATACAGAAAAAGAGCATTTAGAGATACCATATTAAATATGATATGCAAACACTGAACAGAAGAGTGATCAAAAAATAAGAAGCCAAGTGCCAATTTTATCTAAGATGGACATTTATATAATTTTATGCAGATATTTTACTTTTAACAGATTTTCTTTTTCTAATAAAAGCCATTCAATATAAAGGTCAGTCACTACTTTCATAAAACCAGAGGATAAATGGAGGAGCACTTTGGGTTTTTTGTTTTTTTTTTTAAATCCTTCCCTCACGAGTAAGGGCTGTTTATACATATCTAAGAAGTCAGGAGAAGGGCGAGGGCAGTGGCAGCAGAGTCAGATGATACAGGCACAATTCCATAGCAGGGAAGAAGGCATAGACAAGAGCAGTCTAAGAGTTCAAGAAAGGAAAAGATCTTATGTTTCAGATGAGAGGTGGGAGTTAGTGAAGGCTTCCTGAGGTTGCTTGTATTCAATCAGGGCAGGATTTTGACAAGAGACTGGAGAAGCAAAGTACTCTATCAGAGAGAGCAACCCCGGCCATACAGCAAGGTAGCAGGGAAACCGTAGTTGTCAAAAAGTCCTATAGTGGCATTATCTTTGTAAATGGTGCAACCACTAGTGGAAGAGAAGATTCCTTGTTCCCTGTGTTAGCACAAAGACTCATTTCAGTGAGTTGCTGTTTAAAACCAAAAACTAATGAGCTTTATGTCTTCCCACATAAAACATAATATGACATGTGTGGTAAAGTTAACTGAGGTCTGCAATGGAGGTACCATTAACCATGTCAACATAAGCCCAAACATAATCTGATGTTTGGCAGATTGTCATAATCATGTGGCAAGAGCCCAGAAGGCTCATTATTCTCATTTCTGTCATTTAATGGTGGATTTGCCATCAGTAAAATGAAATAGTAACTTCAACTCTATTGGGAGAATTTTCCAAAAAATTACCATCTAAACATCCTTTTAAAATTTCACCCATAAAGTTATCTGAGAGCACGGATCTAAATGACAGTATAAACAAAGCACCAGTAGAACAGTTTTTGTGTAGTGCCTTCATTGTCTGTGAATCTATTCCAACTTTATGGCCTTAGCATAAGAAGGGGAGGAATTGGCAGGTTCTGATTATCGGGGGGAAACTAAAAATTAAAAGTCCTGCCAACCCAGAAAATGCTCCACAATGCAGAAAGACAACAATTTTATTAGGCATTCAACTAGACTTTGATGCACATCACGGCTAATCTGCTAATGAGGTTACAAAGAGAGAAGGAAATCCCTCTTTTATACAGCCAAGGAGACACAATCCATTACACATTCTCAAGGAAACTGGTAACGTGTCCTCATGTAAGAGGGCTTAACATAGTGTTCTATACATTCTTTTATATTTCCTCTTTAATTCATCTGGTAATTGGGGTAACCACCTGTGTTAGCTAACGGCTTTCCTCCTAAGTAATGCACAGCTCCATAACGAAACAGGTGTTTACAATTAGGAATAACGCACCTAGGTTAAACTCCCAAAGTGACAAGGAGACTGGGGCCCTATCTTCCTTGATGTTTACATTTTAAAGAAATGGCTTCCAGGTCCTCAAGAAAAGCATTCCTAGGTCTTTAAAAACATTTGCATACATATTAAATAGAGGAAGCATTCACAAATACTAAGTTTCTCAAGAAAAAAGAAGGGTCTTTCCCTTTTGGCAACAGGGAAAATCTGTAATTTTTTAAATTTAGTCTTACATAGTTTTGCGTGTGTTATCAAACAAGTCCCTTTAATCCTTTCTCATTGCACGTATGTGGACCGCACTTTGGCAAGAGGTGCAGTGATAAGTGGCTGCAGCTACGTGGGTGTTTGTGAACCTCCTCTCTAACAAGATCACCGAAAAGACATTTTTTAAAATGCAGACACGTCCTTGTTCGTTTCCAATTCCGTTTCTCACACTAGTGTCACGTCAGGCCATTAACTCACGTTCAGCTTTCAAGCCCTTACGTAAAGAACCATTCCCATGGCGTGAATCACCCACAACGAGCAGGTCAGGGGCAGGTGAAGGCGGGAGTTCACATCCTAAGACTTTCCTGAAGCGGCAGGCTCTTCCACACAGAAACCAACCGCAAGGCCAGACAAAACTGCTGGAATGGCTTTCAAATCTGTCCCTTTCTAACCCCGTTCCCCCTGGACCTGCAGTGGCCGGAAGAGGAGGAGGAGGAGGGTGCGGGGGTGAGGAAGCAGAGCCGCGCGTTCCCCGGGGCTGGGAGGAAGGCGGACCGCGCCTGGGCCCCGCGGGCTGGCAGACACCAGGAAGGGGCCGCAGAGGAGCGTGGTGGCGGAGTCCAGACCCGGGGCCTCGTGCTCTCGCTGGGGCGCCGCGGCTCAGCTTTCTGGCTCTCTCCCCGGGTGCGAGCACGCCTCCACTCCGGAACTGCATTTGGAGGACCGGGTCATCCCAGGCTGAGGAAAGCCATCGTCCCTCACCTCGACTTCGACTAGGACGGGTGTGAAACGGCTTTCCCGGTCTCCCGGGCGACCGCGCCGCCAGTCGGCTGGACGTCAGGGCGCGGCGACGTCACGGCCCACGTCTGTCGTCAACGCTCCCCTGCACCGCCCAGGGTCTCACGCGCCGGGCGGAAGTGGGAAAACTGGTGGTGGGGCTCGGAAGGCTGGGCTAGTCTTACGCGGAATGCTGTGAGAGGGAGGGAAGGGGATCGAGGGATGAGGTGGGCGAGAGTGGGTCGGGTGCTTGGTAGCGACTGCTGAGATGGAGGGAGCTGTCCCAGCCTCGTGGGGGGTTGGAGAGAGGCACTGCCGGGAGTCGGGAGTCGGGAGCCTATAGCCCTACCTATCACCCCTTGCTCTGGGGCCTATGTGGTAGACACAGCAGTGAGCAGTTACTGTTCTTGAGCAGAGGAAAAAGAGATGCCTGTAGAGGTCATGGGTGTAAAGGGAAGTTCTGGTTTCAGTCATTACAGCCAGGACAAATTAATTGGGAAGGCGTTGGTGACATTTCCATTCTAGTCCAAAGTAGTGAAGATTAAGGGCTTAGTTCAAAAAGTATTTTGAGACCTCCTAGTCTACACTTTATTTATCGCAGGCTACCCACCCTTACACGTGACTAACTTCCCTTTGTTCATACATTCATTCATAAAACAAGTATTTATAGACCTACTACGCGACAAGCAGAGCAGCATACCGAGATAGGGTGATACTCTGTGACTGGTCAAGGCAGGAGCAGCCATTGGTGTAATTAGCAGGTGACTCATTCGTAGTCCAGATCTTGCCTTTCTGAGGATTATATAAGGTCGAAGTACAGTTCTTCCAAGAACCAAAGAAAACATCGATGGCTCTGTAGCAGGCAAAGAGACTGGTTTGCTATTGAATAAAATAAGATTAAGTAAATACAAAGAAAATTAATTGAACCTATAGATTTAGAGAAGTGATTAAATGACGCAGAGCAGTATCGGTACACCAAACTGCTTATTGATAACTACTAATTAATGACACCAGGAAGTACTGAACACTAGTGCCTTGTTCCTTGGCACTAAAAAGTCTAGTAGATGTGGCTGGGCGCGGTGGCTCGGGCCTGTAATTCCAGCACTTTGGGAGGCCAAGGCGGGCAGATCACAAGGTCAGGAGATCGAGATCATCCTGGCTAACACGGTGAAACCCCGTCTCTACTAAAAATACAAAAAAGTAGCCGGGCGTGGTGGCGGGCGCCTGTAGTCCCAGCTACTTGGGCTACTCGGGAGGCTGAGGCAGGAGAATGGCGTGAACCTGGGAGGCAGAGCTTACCCTGAGCCGAGATAATGCCACTGCACTCCAGCCTGGGCGACAGACCAAGACTCAGTCTCAAAAAAAAAAAAAAAAAAAAAAGTCTAGTAGATGTATCTTGTACATTTAACCTGACTGATATTTTTGCCCCAATGCCTACCCTTGATTTTCTGTTTCCACTCCCTCAAAGAAGAAAGGATTAAGAGGCCTAGAGGACAGTCAACCAAGTGGTCAACTATAACATGCTTATGAGAAGCCCAAATAACTTTCAGAGCTATTCATCCTCGTCATATTTATCTGAGAGATAGTGAGGGTAGGACTGCTCTCATTTTGTGATAATGGAAGTTTAGATACAGGGCACCAAAACTGGTACCTATCTGGGACAGGAATTTGCACACCTAATGCAAGATCACTCTGTTCTGAGGCTAGTTTTCTTTATTGAGTACTTTGTTTATAGGATAAGGAAAGGCAACACTTTAAGGATGGGAGAAAATCCAGCTCAAAGGCTGCAGTTCACTCCTTGGTTTAATTTCATCTGTGTTTATTTGTCTGCATATTGCCTTTGAGACCAATTTCCTTTCCACTGTAAATTTCCCTTAGACCTGCACTGTCCAGTAAGGTGGCCTCATGTAACTAATTTCACTAAAATGAAGTATGTTTAAAAATTCCATTGCTATATTGCATTAGCCATATTTTAAGTACTCAGTAGTCATGTAGGTAATGTATGATACACCATAGATACTGAACATTTTCATTATCATAGAAAGTTGGGCTGGGCGTGGTGGTTCATGCCTATAATCCCAGAGCTTTGGCAGGCTGAGGCAGGAGGATCTCTTGAAGCCAGGAGTTTGAGACTGGCCTGGGCAATATAGTGAGACTCTGTCACTATAAAAAAAAAAAAAATTAGCATGGTGTGGTGACACACACCTGTAGTCTTTACTCAGAAAGGCCTAGGTGAGAGGATCACTTGAGCCCAGGAATTTGAGGCTGCAGTCTATGATCTGGCCACTGCACTCCAGTCTAGGTGACAGAGCCCGACCCTGTCTCTTAAAAAAAGAAAACAAAGAAAAAGAAAGTTGGAAAGCAGTAGACCCCAGTAAGAATTTCAAAGGATAAGAGTTAAGTTGTGATGAATGACATTTTTTAAAGCGTAGCAGCAAAAAGTGTTATTCCTGAAAGAAGATAGTGCAAAGGAAGTGTTGTGACAAGATGTTACAAAATAGGTTTAAGAAAAAAAAAAAAGCCACGAATCCTGTGCCCTATGTTGGTGTTTTGTCTTGGTCTCTCCCTTTTCAGGTTTCTCACTTGCCCTCCCTCTGTCTTCCCACCCCATTACTGTCCATACTAGAATTGAAGTACAATTTAAAATAATCCCATCATTGGGCATATTAAATAAAGTTTTGGGTTACCCCATTAGTTTTTAATTGAGCTAATTTTCACTTTTTACTTCGACTTTTAAAAATTATCCAGTAATAGCCAAATTAAGCTGCTGTTAACTTCTTTTTATGACCCTTTATTCCCCGCTCCCAACCCCGTATTGTCAGTGATCCCTGGGGAAGGAAATGCTCTCAGTTTTTGGAATAGAGACGCTCTAAAGCGACTAACCTAGGGCTTTCCACATGGTCTGCAGAACTTTGTGTTGGTTTATGAGGACACAGTGTCTGTGCTTTTGTTACTGTTGTGAATTTACATAAAATATGTATCCAGCAGGGAAATGTCGTTCTTCACTTCAAAAAGTAGTTTTATGCTCCCTCCTTTGTTTCCTCCTCCCCCACCATGAAAAGCATGTAGAAGAGGTATGTTGCCTGCAATTCTGATAAAAATGTAGGAACTCTATCCAAGCGAGAGGCGACAGCGTGCTGGCAGTCCTCAGAGCCCTTGCTCGCTCTTGGCGCCTCCTCTGCCTGGGCTCCCACTTTAGTGGCACTTGAGGAACCCTTCAGCCCACTGCTGCACTGTGGGAGCCCCTTTCTGGGCTGGCCAAGGCCAGAGCTGGCTCCCTCAGCTTGCAGGGAGGTGTGGAGGGAGAGGGGCGAGCGGGAACTGGGGCTGCGCGCCGTGCTTGCGGGCCAGCTGGAGTTCCGGGTGGGCGTGGGCTTGGCAGGCCCCGCACTCGGAGCAGCCAGCCGGCCCTGCCAGCCACGGGCAATGAGGGGCTTAGCACCCAGGCCAGTGGCTGTGGAGGTTGTACTGGGTCCCCCCGCAGTGCCAGCCCACTGGCGCTGCACTCGATTTCTCGCTGGGCCTTAGCTGCCTTCCCGTGGAGCAGCGCTCGGGACCTGCAAGCCCGCCATGCCTGAGCCTCCCACCCCCTCCGTGGGCTCCTGTGCCGCCGGAGGCTCCCCAACAAGTGTCGCTCCCTGCTCCATGGCACCCAGTCCCATCGACCACCCAAGGGCTGAGGAGTGTGGGCTCACAGCGTGGGATTGGCAGGCAGCTCCTGTGCAGCCCCAGTGCGAGACCCACTGGGTGAAACCAGCTGGGCTCCTGAGTCTAGTGGGAACTTGGAGAACCTTTATGTCTAGCTCAGGGATTGTAAATACACCAATTGGCACTCTGTATCTAGCTCAAGGTTTGTAAATACACCAATCAGCACCCTGTGTCTAGCTCAGGGTTTGTGAATGCACCAATTGACACTCTGTAACTAGCTACTCTGGTGGGGCCTTGGAGAACCTTTATGTCTAGCTAAGGGATTGTAAATACACCAATCAGCACTCTGTATCTAGCTCAAGGTTTGTAAACACACCAATCAGCACCCTGTGTCTAGTTCAGGGTTTGTGAATGCACCAATGGACATTCTGTACCTAGCTACTCTGGTGGGGCCTTGGAGAACCTTTGTGTGACACTCTGTATCTAGCTAATCTGGTGGGGAGGTGGAGAACCTTTGTGTCTAGCTCAGGGATTGTAAACACACCAATCAGCACCCTGTCAAAACAGACCACTCGGCTCTACCAATCAGCAGGATATGGGTGGGGCCAGATAAGAGAATAAAAGCAGGCTGCCCCAGCCAGCAGTGGCAACCAGCTCGGGTCCCCTTCCACACTGTGGAAGCTCTGTTCTTTCGCTCTCTGCAATAAATCTTGCTACTGCTCACTCTTTGGGTCCACACTGCCTTTATGAGCTGTAACACTCCCAGCGAAGGTCTGCAGCTTCACTCCTGAAGCCAGCGAGACCACGAGCCCACCGGGAGGAACAAACAACTCCAGAGGTGCTGCCTTAAGAGCTGTAACACTCCCCGCGAAGGTCTGCAGCTTCACTCCTGAGCCAGCGAGACCACGAACCCACCAGAAGGAAGAAACTCCGAACACATCTGAACATCAGAAGGAACAAACTCTGGACACACCGCCTTTAAGAACTGTAACACTCACCGCAAGGGTCCACAGTTTCATTCTTGAAGTCAATGAGATCAAGAACCCACCAATTCCGGGCACACAAGATTGCTTTTTTTTTTTTTTTTTGAGACAGAGTCTTGCTCTGTCACCCAGGCTGGAGTGCAATGGCATGATCTCGGCTCGCTGCAACCTCCACCTCCCAGGTTCAAGGGATTCTCCTGCCTCAGCCTCCCCAGTAGCTTGGACTACAGGTGCCTGCCACCATGCCCGGCTAATTTTTGTATTTTTAGTAGAGACGGGGTTTCACCATGTTGCCCAGGCTGGTCTCAAACTACTCACTTCAGGTGATCCAACCGGCTCGGCCTCCCAAAGTGCTGGGATTACAGGTGTAAGCCACCGCACTAGGCCCAAGATTGCTAATTTTAAAGTGAGCTTAAAACTGTACAAAGGGAGCATGGCAAAATTACAGTTAGCCCCAACTTTATTTTCATCCTGCAAACCAGAACCCAGTACAACTCTATCCCCTCAAAAATGGAAATTAAATACTTGCAAACAGGCCTCCCAGGTTGGAAGCAACCACAGCTTTCACTAATATTTCTGGGTTCCATCCAACACAAGTGCACAAAAGAAAAAAACCTAACATTTTTGAAAAGCTAGTACTTATTGGGCTCTTTCTATTTGCCAGGCACTTCATACACAATGTCTCATCCAACTGAGAACCCTTCCAAACATAAGTCAGATCCTGCTTATGGTCTATTTTCACACAAATAATGGAAATGGCTGAGGGCATGGCCTAATGTGAGTACAGAAGTGTACTTGGACCAAATATAAGAGGAAGCACTTGGGCCTCACATACAGTGTTAGTTGACTTTGCCAGCCAGCCAGTACCCAGGGGACATCAGCCTATAGTGGATTAGTAACATGTAAATATCCAAAAAGTATTTAATTCTGTAAACCTAACTTTGTCTCACACTTACTGTCTTCATGACTTTTCTGAAGTCACTTCCAGTTTTCAAAAATGGTCAGCTACAAGGGACCACTTGCTTTGTTTTACTTACCCCAACACATTTTGTTCCCACCAAGATGTGGATTGGATTTTCTTTCTTAATAACATTTCATGTTTGTTAAAACTGCTATTAACATTATTAACATTTAAAGTTTTAAACTGCTTTAAATAGCTGCTTTGCATATTTTGAACCACAAATAACTCTAGTCTGGAGGTGGTTTAGACCACAAAATACTATTTGTGGGTTTAAGCTCTGTATCTTTTTAAATCCATTATATGTACAGTGTAAACTTGAGTACCTAATAAAATAAATGTCACAATGTTTAAATAGCATTTCTCTTTAGTTCAAATGCTTTGTCATCTGTGCAGGAATAAATTGTGTGCTGAATTCTTTTTAGCCCTGAGAATATGATTATTGAACAAAATTTCCAGTGAGACAAGTCAGGCCTTTAAATGATAAATATCCTCAAATATTAACAGTTAGTCAACCACTACAGCGAAACCTTTGATTATTATAAATGTATTTCCTGTGGCAAGTTCACCACTGATAAGAGCTTTTTATCCGAAACTGTACTATGTGCCAAATACAACTTAGTATTTATTACATGAATATATTTTTAAAAACAAAAAGAATAGGCCAGGCACAGTGGCTCGTGCCTGTAATCCCAGCTACTCCGGAGGCTGAGGCAGGAGAATCACTTGAACCTGGAGGCGGAGATTGGCAGTGAGCCGAGTTTGCACCACTGTACTCCAGCCTGGGCAACAGAGTGAGACTCTGTCTCAATTAAAAAAAAAAAAAAAGAATAAAGCTCTAATGGCATTAACTTAACACTCTTGTAATGAATTTGATGCTAAAAATGTGGTACTGATAGCTCTTATTCTGTAATGTAAATTAACCAAGTTCCTTTTATTAAACTCAGCATCCAATAAATGGCCCATAATAAGCACTTAATAAATGCTAATAAGTTCAAAGACTGAAAATTGGTAACTGCCTTATGCACTTAAAAACAACTTTTGTAGTTTATTATTTGCTTGTTTAGTGAAATTATTGCTTCATTTCTGAGATTTTCATAGGATTCTAATGAAGAATCTAAGATTCCAACTCACATTTGTTTTGATAAGCGATTGGTAAAAGTGATTTCATTCTCCCTTTGTAAAGATGAAGTTAATGTTTCTATACCTATTATTTTAAGTAGCTACTGAATTTACAGGAAACAAAGTATAAAAATTTTTCTGTCATTTTGTTCTACCTCCATTGATAGTGTTTTTAATGCCATTAAATGAGTTCCAAATCATCTTAAAGATATTTTCTTAGGGACTACTGATATCAAATATCAAGCATTTTATGAGATCTATCAACCACATGAAAAATATTAAAATAAGTATAGTAGCCCTGGTTTGCAATGATGTAGAGCAATTAGCAATCTTAAACACTGCTGTTGGGGTGAAAAATTAGAACATTTATTATGTTTTAAACCCCTTAAAATGTTCAAAACTATTACAGTTGACACATGATCCTCCTTCTTCCTTTTGTTCAGGAATTCAGACCTCTGTACTGCCCTCCCCCTGTCCTACCCCCAAGCATGCATGAATCAGCCCAAGTCCAGAAGTGAGTTCAGATTAGATCAATTCTGTTAGCACCTTCCCCTTTACCAGTGATTAAATCAGGAATGCGTCTATGATCCAATTATGACTAGAAGTTCCAAGAGACGTTTGCTGGAAGCTTTAGGAAAATTCTTTCTTATTAGCACATATATTCAGTGTTCACCACAGTCTTATAATGTTTTAAAACAGGAAATACTAAAATGTGAAATACATTGATTTACTCGAACAACAGTGTGCAGCTGTTAGAAATGATGATGTGGTTCTTTGCTGATGTGGTTGAATGTCCCAATAGATTGTTCTGTGACAAAAAGCAAGTTAAAAATTGTGTTATAACTACAAAAAAAAAAAACCGTAATATTCTAAACAGCATTCTAAATGTATATTTTATTATTTCTATAAATACATATCTCTTCTCATAGAATCAGAAGAGGTAAACAATCAAGTTTCAGGAAAGCAGGAGCCAGTATTGCTTTGAGAACCTCAGATATGCAATGTGGAATTTGCAAAAGCCATAAAAAGGCTCAGCCCTTAGAATCTACCACTTAATGAAAGTTGGTTCCATTTTCTTTTATTGTTGGCAGTCTCTGCACATGGCAGAGCAGTGGTGGCTGACGGTCCAATTTTGTCACCAAAAGGAACTGGGGAGAAGGCATCTATGCCCACCCTCCTGTTAGAAAATTGCCAGGAAATGACTTTCTTTGGCACAACTTGGATGATATGCAATCTCTTTAACCAAATTACTAAGGCCAGGAGGAGTCAAGTGCTGTTTGTCATTGGCTTACCTTGAGTCAGGTATATGCCTCTCGACCAAGTGTGGGGACCAAGTAGGCAAGGCCACACACAATGACACCTCCCTTTCTAACTACATTCT
The DNA here is from genome assembly GCF_000001405.40 of Homo sapiens. Taxonomy (NCBI): domain Eukaryota; kingdom Metazoa; phylum Chordata; class Mammalia; order Primates; family Hominidae; genus Homo; species Homo sapiens. The sequence continues at coordinate 156,818,269 of NC_000003.12, read as the reverse complement.
AGAAGAGTAAAGGCAGAAGCACAATCCAGGCAGGAAGGGTAGGCAGTTCTGTCCCAGAAGAAATTAAGCGTGCTGGGCAGACCAGGAAAAAAAAAAAAAATCCCACGTGAGAATCAGTCAGCTGGTAGAACATTTTAAAATTAAACAGTGAATCTTGCTGCCTTTTCCCACATATGGTAAGCTGAGATGAGAATATGTATTTTTGAGAAAGCTTCCTAGGAGTTTATTGTGTCTATTCTAACCCTAGAGAATCCCCCCTTTCCTATAATGTTACATGTATCACAAAAACAAATGTGTGTGTAACTAGGCACTATAGGCCTAAGAGTCATAATAGGGAAATAAGAGAGCATAGATTCACCAAATCAAAGTTTAAGTACATAGAAAATAAACTAATGTGGAATTTCCCAAGCTTTCAGTTGACTGGGGTGCTCTTGTGTTAAAAACTATCGTGGTAACATTTTTTGTTTTGTCCTCTAAACTTGATTTATCTGCAAATCTACAAACATTTTAATTATGTAAATAGATATCTGTGCGGGCAAAACACTTTTTGCTCACATGATCTTGAGAAGGAACTTAGATTCTGGTGTCTTAAAACGTGGCACCTTTTTTATGTCCTTGGGGCTTTTGAGTCACCATATAAATGAGGTCTCTCATGTTCGTATGCCAGGGAGATCAACCACCTCTGATTTTAAAATAAAACACTGCAAAGAAAGCTTCCGGGAGGAATGAGAGCATGCCCCAAATCACGACTCTGTAATTAGTCTTTGTGCAGAGCGGACAGAAATTTCGTCCCAAAGCCACCGTCCTTGCTCTGGTTCCTTTCTCTGTAAGCATGTCACACGAACCACACTCCTGCGCCATGCATCGCAATTTAAAGCTTTCCTTGTAAAGTTTCCCCAGCTTGATTGCTTATGGAAAGAGCAGCTCCGGTTCCCAATTCGTTTAATACATCCTGTCCGAGCGCGTTTTATTACCGAATGTTACCCACGTTGTGATAACAAGGGGACGCTGTGTCCTCCCCCGGTGAACTCACTCCCTGTCCCAGAAATATAGCGTGACTGCCCTCCCCGGCGGTGTTTTGAAAGTAGAAGCCGGGCGCCGCCCTCCAGCACCTGCACCTCCCGCCCGGCGACGGCCGCCTGAAGCACGAAGTGCGTGCGACCGCAGCCCGGCAGGTCACGCAACCCCAGGCCGCCGCGCCGCCTGCGTGCCTGCAGCCCGCCGGCCCCGCCCCCGCTGCCTGCTTCCGCCGCTTTAGTGCACGCTCGGGCTTCCTGGTGCGCCCGGAGCCTGCCTCGCGTGCCGACCCCGCCGCGTAATCCGGCGAGGCATCCCAGATTCCGCCCGGCTCCAGACGCCCTCCACCGACTTTAGTTCGAGCAGGTGACGCCCTCATTTTAACGCCGAAAAGTGTCAGTTCCCGATATACAACAAACACCTCAGGCTGCGAAACGTGGGATAAGGGGACAGCGGGCTGAGAGTCGACCTCGCCCCTGGGCCCCTCTCGGCCTCCTTGGCGCCTGCTCCCTGCCCGCTCCGTCGGGCGGCCCTGTGCGGGCGGAGAGAGCAGCAAGGCGGCCTCCCGCACTGCCTGGATTTCGAGGGCGGGGGCGGGCGCGGGGGCAGCCCGGCCAGGGCTAGGAGACCCGGGAAGGGGTCGCCAGCGAGTGGCCTTCGCGGAGCTGCCTCACCCCGCCTGCCTGGAGCCGGGAGCCCGGCGTGCACTGACGCCTGGGGCACGCTGGGGGCGACTTTCGTGGCCGGGCGGCTGACCCCGGCGACCCGGCGCAGTGTCCAGAAGTGCGCTGGGGGGTAATGAAGGGCAGCGCTCGCTGAGGCTGAAAGGAGCGAGGGCCGGCGCTGTGTAGGTTAGATTCTTTGTTGACGTCTGGGAGCCGTCTTTTGAAGAATGAGAACGGGGCCGTTATTGCAAGTAGGATGGGCTTCATCGTGGGCCTCGAAGGATCAGGGGTGGGCGCGCCGGCTGCCAGGGCCCCTCTCACGCCACGCCGCGTGCAGGCGAGGGGAAGCGCGTGTCGTGACGACCTGCGATGAGATCAGTTTGAGTAACCACAGCCGTCGGGGCTGAGAAATGCAGCCAGTCACGCAGCGCAGCGCAGCTCAGCGCTGGCTCTGGCCGGGTGGCCGCAGCCGCTCCGCGCTTCGCAGAGGGAGGTGGGGGTGGATCAGCCCCTTCCAGGTGGTCGCCGGTGGGGGCGTCAGAACTATTCTAAGAGGGTGGGGAGCCAGAGAAGAAAACCATACAAAATGCAACTTGCATGATTAGGAGGCTGAATTCTATGAGCAAATGGGTTTTCAAGAAGCACACTGAAAATAACCTCTGTAAATGGTTGTCTCTTACACTTTGCCCAGTAGATAACTGTTTAAAAACTACTCTAACACGGAATTCAAAGGTCATTCAAATGTGCCTTCAATTTGTTTATATTACTTAGTTTAACAGGCAGTACACACGGCTCACATATGCGTGCATGAAATTTAATTTATACAGTCAAGTCTGGAAGCATGGTTTGGCAAGAGGAATAATTGTGAATTCAGTTAAAGTCAGGGTACAAACAGCCAGATTACTTAAAAGGACAGATGAACTGAAAAAAAAATCAGTCCATGAGGAAGCTGTTACATTCATCTTTTCATGGTCTTGAACATCTTATACCAACTCAACAATAATACCCAGCGGAAACTTCTAATTAGACACAGAAAACGCAAGTATTAGCTGTGTGGGCAAGCATCAAAAAGCCTCATGTTAGAGACAGACACATGAATAACATCTATAACGTAACAGCGTATATCTTTTTTTTTTTTTTTTGAGACGGAGTCTTGCTCTGTCACCCAGCCTGGAGTGCAGTGGTGCGATCTCGGCTCACTGCAAGCTCCGCCTCCAGGGTTCATGCCATTCTCCTGCCTCAGTCTCCCCAGCAGCTGGAACTACAGGCGCACGCCGCCACGCCCGGCTTTTTTTTTTTTTTTTTTTTGTATTTTTACTAGAGACGGGGTTTCTCGATGGCCAGGATGGTCTCGATCTCCTGACCTCGTGATCCGCCCGCCTCCGCCTCCCAAAGTGCTGGGATTACAGGCGTGAGCCACTGCGCCTGGCCGTAAGAGCATATATCTTTAAAATTCTGTATTTCAGTCATTTCCTTAGTATACATTTGGCTCACTGATAGGTATGTTAGTTACTATAAAACAATTAGGATTAATCACCAGGTACAGAAAAATCTCTGTTGTGAATTTAAAATTTTTATCAGATTTTTTTTTTCTCTTGAGACAAGTCTGTTTGGTTGATCAGGCTGGAGTGCTGTGGGGTGGTCAGGGCTCATGGCGGCCTCTATCTCCCAGGCTCAGGCGATCCTCCCACCTCAGCCTTTCCAGTAGGTGGGACCAGAGGTGCGCCACCACGCCGCGCTAATTTTTTATTTTTTGTAGAGATAAGGGCTCCCTATGTTGCCTGGGCTGGTCTCAAACTCCTGGGCTCAAGCGATCCTCCCACCTGGGACTCCCAAAGTGCTGGGATTACAGGCATGAGCCACCATGCCCAGACCAGAATTATTTTATTTTACTTTATTTATTTATTTTACAAATCGTAATGTTCATATAATGTGAGTTCAGTAGGAAATAAGGAGTTGATCCTTAGTGCCTAGCAAACTGCATCAAATTAATATTATGAATGAAGAAAGGAATGAATTAATGTATAGGCAGTACTCTAATGGTTAGACCTGTGAACTGAAGTGTCATGAGGGAGTAGTGCCAGCCCTGCCACTGACTCATGTGTGATCTTGGTATGGTAGAAATAATGCTTACAACATACCTACCTTGGCAGAGGTATGAAGGGAGCTATTCCTTACTTACTGCAGGTGCTTCGAGATCCTTGGAGGAGGATGATATGTTCAACTATTATAAAATAATACACCACTGTTAGGACAACCCACATGTAAAATTACAAAAGTATAGATTTTAAATACAGTAGTGCCACCAATTTTTTTCATTTGTATGTAGTCCATCAAGTACTGAAATACAGTGTAGGAGGCTGCACACCTTTATATAAAATATTTGGCTTATAGAATATTTGTCATTGGACCAATATTTCATGATGTGCAATGGAAGTTTAATCAGTACTACTATACTTAACTAATAATATGCATATTTAATTAATAATGATATAATAGTGTTTAGTAATATGTATAATACTATAATAATAGTATTAATATACTATTATATACTTAAATACTATTACAGTAGTATTTGTGGTGATGGTATTTTCTGAGTGCGGAGACCTCTGGTGTATGAAGTGCGTAGGAGAAAACAAACTTTTGGTGACTTTTCTAAACTTGATGCGTGGAATCTTGAAGATAAGGGACCTTCTTGGTATAATTGTCTATTCCCGAGTGAATGAAAGTCTAGCGATATAATCAATATATTAAGAGCTCCACTGTGTATCGGACATTGGTCTAGGCATTGGAGATAGAACAGATAACAGACAAAACTGATTACTTAATGTTTAAATGTTTTTGGTCTCTATTTAATGCACATTACTTTAGGAATAGTAATGCACTGTGCACATCTTTGCGTAAACCCTTTCCTGTTCTAAGCTCTTGGTAGAGGGTCCTTAAGAGGGTTTGGAAAAGTAATGACAGAGGGGCTTTCTGGAAAGGGAGTTGAAGGCAGAACAGTGGTAGGCAGTTTTAACTGGAATCAGAAGGCAGATACCAGTCCTTCATCAAAGTCTCCTGTTAAGAAAATCATAAGACAAAAGCATACAATACTTTGCTTCCCATCATTCTCCCCACTAAAGTTGGCCTCATGTTTCTTAATTCTCTCTGCCATCATATTAAGTCTATGTGTATAAGTTTTACCAGAGTCATAGGCACTCGTGCAGTTTGCTGACTGCATGGTGGTGCCTGGTGGAGGAGGTAGGTAGGCATAAAACTCCAGACCTAGCTTCATCTGCCAACACAGGTGTTTTGCATCCTCCCGAGATAGGGGCATCTTGAATAAAAGCACCATGGGGCCACAGTAGCTCTCTTTTTCTTCAGAGTTCTCAGGCATCTAACCCCTACCTGCCCTTTGGCATGTATTTTCTTGTTGTATTTAATAGCATTGCTCTGCTATGAGTTGCAAGACAGGGAACATTGGGGGATGAGGAGAAGCCAAGGCTGAAGAAGTGAACCAAGCCCTATCAGCTTCCAAGATGTCTAATATCTAGATAAATGAAGACTAGCTAAGGCATAATGATACTGTGTGAAATGTTTTGCAGCAAAAAGAAAGCAAAGCAATGATAGACAACAACCTGTCTTTTCAATTTTAGCAAACAGGAAGAATTGTCAGCTCACAACTGATTGCCTCAGTCTTGCATTGCAACTGGAGAACATGATACAGTCAGACAGCGTGGCTCAACCTTTTGGCCGAGCTCATTTGTAGGATTTGATATCAGATGATTCGATATAGGATATATGTCCTGCTGAACCCTGGGGATGACCTTGAGATTAAAGTGTTTTCCCTTCCCTGTTGCTAACTTCTCTGTGGTCTGTTGACATTACGTCATGTTGCAAACAATGAGTGGTAGAGACTGGAGACTGCTGTGTCAGGGTGTAGTGACCTGATTAGTCCAAACTCCTGCAGGGGAGACGTGCAAATAGATGAGCCCCAACAGGACCTGAAGAACCATGTGGTTTTGAAATTCTGGGTGGATGGGCCACACCCTGCATACACCTTAAATCTCCTGGCACTTTGAAGGTACAATTATTGCTCAACAACTCCAGGTTAATTAGATCTTTGTATGATGTGATTATCATAAATGTAACCTTTTAAATGTAACTTTTAAAAATGTACAAATGTGTGCATAATATAAATGATAAAACAAACTTGCAGTTAATATCTTATAAGGGCATAAAAATGATCCAACTGGATTAACACCTTTTAAAATATAGTTTATTCCTAGCAATAGTTAAACAGTTCATTTTGTAGCTTAACATAAAGGCCTAAAGAAAATGAAACATATGAAGGAATCTTATTACTCTGCACTATGCAGTTTGTCATTTCACTTAAGTAAAGATTCCTATGAGATTTTTAAATTAATGATTATTTACAAAAGGCTTTTGAGAGTGTTGCTTTTACTTTTATGTGGTTTCAAGGTGGGGAGACAGATTAAAGATGTTAAGTAAAATATTCCATAAATACTGTATCTACCAAAAATAAGAGAATTAAAGCATTTGTGGAACTTTACTCATAGAAGATACTTGGTAAATATAGTTTATTACTCTAAATTAATATAATTCCCCACCTGAAACAATAAATGTAGCATGCAATATATTGTTCCCTGTTTGAGGACAGATACTGCTGCTTATTGATATTTGCATTGCTCATACTACCCAATAAGTGATGATGGTTGAATGAATCAATTAATGAATGAGCATGAGAGAAAAGCCATAAGAACTAACCTCCCATTCTAATCCCTAGGCCCTCCCTGTTTCTCTTACTGAATGCCTTTCCAGATTATTGATGCTTTGCATGAGCAATAAGGAAAAAGGAAGCAATCCAGATGGGAGCGTAGCTGTGGTCAGATGTCTCTGAAATGAACAAAGTATTTGCAGATGTTTCAACAAGTGGAGGGGTTGGGCTGAGTCTAGGTCACAGGAAACAACTTCCACACGTTGGGGCTACTACAATAAAGGTATCATCACTTACCAGCACAGGATTCTGTTGGAAACTTGAAAAGGCACTCAGGGTTGGAATGCTACATGAATCCAGACTTGTCTCAGGAATGCCACAAGTGATCAGAACTAAGTATAGAAATTAATGTGGTTTGTAAAAATAGCAATAAGGATCATGTTTATCTGGGAATCAAATCCTTTAATCACTTTAGACAGAACTAATGAAACTAGAATAAACCATCATTGATTGTGAGAGTCTCCTTCTAAATTAGTTGGCCTTTGGCTTTTAGAGAGCAAAGTTCAAATTCCAGTTCCTGTCTGACAGGAAAGTAAGTCAGACACAAAGTAGATAGTCTTTTAGACTTCAAACTGAAACAGCAGGGCATAAAGGAGATCTGAGTCTTGAAGAACCTTTGCTTTCAGAGTTGCTGAGTTCAGTATTGCTAATGCAGTATTTTTCATTGTGCCTTTTGAGGCTGTTCATTTTAGATTTATGATATTTGCCTTTGTTGGTAAATATGTTCAAATATAAATAAAAATTTTATATTTCCTAATGAAAAAATTCTAACTTCTACTCTTTTGTGCATGCCCTGTTCTGAAGCATGTTAACTTTCTAGCTGCATGGTGGATAATAGGGCCCATGTTTATAGATCCCAACTGTAAAGATAATAAGACACAAAGGCATCTTAAAAAGTGATCTGAGCAGCTTCTCGTTCTCGCCTGCCTGCCCGCTCGCTCCCTTGCTTGCTCGCGCTTTCCCTCACCCTCTCCTCGAGGATGGAGGGGACTCTGACCACAGCCTGTGACTGGGAAGGGAGACAGAGGCAGCGGCGGCTCAGGGGAAACGAGATTGCAGTGGTGGTAGTAGGAAGATGTCGGGCAAGGATGAGCAGCAGGAGCAAACTATCGCTGAGGACCTGGTCGTGACCAAGTATAAGATGGAGGGTGACATCGCCAACAGGGGTACTTCGGTCCTTGGTGGAAGCATCTAGCTCAGGTGTGTCGGTACTGAGCCTGTGTGAGAAAGGTGATGCCGTGATTATGGAAGAAACAGGGAAAATCTTCAAGAAAGAAAAGGAAATGAAGAAAGGTATTGCTTTTCCCACCAGCATTTCAGTAAATAACTGTGTATGTCACTTCTCCCCTTTGAAGAGCAACCAGGATTATATTCTCAAGGAAGGTGACTTGGTAAAAATTGAACTTGGGGTCCATGTGGATGGCTTCATCGCTAATGTAGCTCATACTTTTGTGGTTGATGTAGCTCAGGGGACCAAGTAACAGGGAGGAAGGCAGATGTTATTAAGGCAGCTCACCTTTGTGCTGAAGCTGCCCTACGCCTGGTCAAACCTGGAAATCAGAACACACAAGTGACACAAGCCTGGAACAAAGTTGCCCACTCATTTAACTGCACGCCAGTAGAAGGTATGCTGTCACACCAGTTGAAGCAGCATGTCATTGATGGAGAAAAAACCATTATCCAGAATCCCACAGACCAGCAGAAGAAGGACCATGAAAAAGCTGAATTTGACATACATAAAGTGTATGCTGTGGATGTTCTTGTCAGCTCAGGAGAGGGCAAGCCCAAGGATGCAGGACAGAGAACCACTATTTACAAACAAGACCCTTCTAAACAGTATGGACTGAAAATGAAAACTTCACGTGCCTTCTTCAGTGAGGTGGAAACGCGTTTTGATGCCATGCCGTTTACTTTAAGAGCATTTGAAGATGAGAAGAAGGCTCAGATGGGTGTGGTGGAGTGCGCCAAACATGAACTGCTGCAACCATTTAATGTTCTCTATGAGAAGGAGGGTGAATTTGTTGCCCAGTTTAAATTTACAGTTCTGCTCATGCCCAGTGGCCCCATGCGGATAACCAGTGGTCCCTTCGAGCCTGACCTCTGCAAGTCTGAGATGGAGGTCCAGGATGCAGAGCTAAAGGCCCTCCTCCAGAGTTCTACAAGTCGAAAAACCCAGAAAAAGAAAACAAAGAAGGCCTCCAAGACTGCAGAGAATGTCGCCAGTGGGGAAACATTAGAAGAAAATGAAGCTGGGGACAGGTGGGTCCCATCTCCCCAGCTTGCTGCTCCTGCCTCATCCCCTTCCCACCACACCCCGGACTCTGTGAAGCGCAGTTCTTCTTCTCCACCTAGGACCGCCAGCAGAGCAGGGGTCTCCCTGCCCCCACCCCAGTTCCCCAACCCACTCCCTTCCAACAACAACCAGCTCCAACTGACTCTGGTCTTGGGAGGCGAGGCTTCCCAACCACAGAAGACTACTTTAAATGAAAAAAAGAAATTGAATAATAAAGTCAAGAGTCAAAAAAAAAAAAAGTGATCTGGACTAGACTAGGCAAATTACTAGCTTTGTGCTCTGATACATTACCATTTGAATCCCTTTTCTAATCTCTGATATGGTAACAATTGGAAAATGGATTTGCTTTTTGGATCAATGGGCAAGAAAAGGATTATTTTCTAAAGTAATTACCTGAATGTTTGGCAACATTGAATATAAATTTTCCCTAAAAACCCTAAACTTTTGAAGTGAAAAGACCATAGAGCAGCATACCTATGGACACGTTACTCATAGAGACTAGCTTTTTATCTCCCCAAAATGAAAGGTTTTTTTTTAAGTTTTAAGAAATGAAAGAAAATGCTAACACTATCACTAAAATTGACCAGCATATTCGGGGGATAGCAAAAAAAATAGTTAACTCTAACATTATTGGAGAAGTATACATATGTTGCTTTTCTACTTGAATTGCCCTTTCTGAATATTGGAATTCAATATACAAAAGTTAAATGTCAATGTTGGCAGTAAATCCTTTTGTCTTTTTTAAAAAACTAGAAAAATCGCAGAGGTGTATCAGACTCTCTGAGTTTCTCTAACTATTATAAAATCATATCATTACAGCCATGAAGAAATTTAGATGTCATGAAGATCAAATTCCTCATTTTATAGATGAAGAAACAAATTCAGACAGGATAATTAATTTATTTTTAAAATACTATTATTATTATTGCCAGTACTATGCAAGGCACTAGTATTAGTCTGAGGATTCAGCAGTGAACAGGACAGATGTGGTCTCTTGCCCTGAATCACCACAAAGTTAATGGAGGAGCTGGAACCGGAAATGAGCCTCTAGATTTCAAACTAAAAGACTTCCATTAATCAACTACTGACTCTATACCAGACCCTAAGTGTTTCACCTAACATTAAGTCTTATAACCTTCACTAATTTAGAATAAGGTGGAACATGCCTTCCCACTCCCGATGTCTCTCCTGTGTGTAGGGAGCTCTTTTACCATAATAATCTTGGCTCCTCTTTGTTGCCTCATTTACTTTACCCAAGGGGAGAGTGACTTATCTGAGTTAGGAAAGAGTAACAGCATGAGTAATCCAGCCCCTTCCCTTCTCTTTTTTTTGGGTGTTGGGGGACTGAGCTGTCTGAAGGGAATGTTTGTTCGGGTTTGCTCTTCCAGGCCCTAAGGAGAACAGGAGCAGAAGGAGTCCTCTTCAGATCTTGTGATTGGGTAGGCAAGTCTCCTACTGGGGTTTAAAATTAGGAAGCCCACTTTCCCACAGGTATCAGTTCTCTCATCAATAAAATCTCAATGTGTGTTTGTGCAAGAGAGAAGCATTTCATAAAAATAAAACTAAGCAACTGGTACTATCATATTTGAACCACCTAAAACCAGCCATGTTCTATCCAGTATGTATGTGTGTGCCTCACATTCTGACCTCATCTGTCACAGCACCCAAGAAATGATGTCTTAAAATGATATTAATATAACCTTCTAAACTGCTTTGGTGCAATTTCCATAATTTCTAAAACGGTGAAGGTCAGCTGTCAGGCTTCCTGGGGGATAAAGTAGTGAAGTGAAAAGAACATGAGATTTATAGAATCAAACCTAGATTTGACTCTACTCTGAATACATCTCTATAATTCTGAACCTCTGTTTTTACCTCTAAATAACAACATGGATTGCCTCACTGAGCTAACATGGTTAAGGCCCAAAGAAGATAATAGATGCGTGAGTGCCTTATAAACTATAAAGGACTTTGAAAATGTTAGCTGTTTTACAGGTTTAAAGGGCAATCCTGTAATAATAGTTCTCATATTTACTATAGATTTTAAGCTTCACTTTATACACAGATGGTTGAAGAGTTAGGCAGTTGATTGCTGCCTTGATGGTTTATTTAAACCATCATTTAAACCATTATTTAAAGGCTGAGAATCACTTTACCAACTGAGCTCTCCCGCCTTCCAACCTGTGTTACTTAATTTAAAACATAAAAGCTCCTCTTCCATTGCTGTCTACATTTCTACCATTAGTCTTTTGCATTAAGCAGTCCATTTCCCAGTGACCTCCTTTGAGTTCTGAGCAGGTTTGTAAAATATTTTCCTACTAGGAAGAAGCAGCAGTACACTTAAGAATTGGAGTAGAGTTGGGGGAAGATAAAAAGAGAAGTTGGCAGCAGGTAAAGGGCACAGAAAAGTCTGGGCTATGGGTCTCAACCAAAAGTACTGATAAGGAAATGGAGGAAGGATTAGAAGGTATCCAGGAGCAAGGGAACATCTTTTCAAAGTGGCACCTTTTTCATAAATTGTTTTAAGTCTTGCTCCCTCTGATGAATCTGCAATATTTCAACCTGAGAGTCAGGAGAAATGGATTCCAGTCCTGCCTTTGACCATCCAGCTGTGTGACCTTGGATATGTAACTTGGCCTCTCTGAGTCTCAGTTTCCTTATCTATAAAATGAAATCTTTGGACAAATGTTTTCTAAAGCCATTTCAGCCACAAATATTCTATAATTCTAGCAAAGATCCCATGATCTTTCATTCCCCTTTTAACATTTAAGTCTTATCTTCCCCTAGGGGAGAAAAATTATCTTAGAAATGTCTGAAGAAGTAGTAGGAGGAGGAGGAGGAGGAGGAAGTGGGAGAGGAGGAGGAGGAGGAGTAGTGTGCACGTGTGTGTGTAGACAACAATGGTTATAACAAAGTTGTAACAGAACATCATAGGCCAGAGAGAAGCATTTCATAAAAGTAAACAAGCAATTGTACACTATCATATTTGAACCATTTCTGCTTAGAAGTAAAAAACTCTCCCCAAAAGTTTTCCCAATTATAGTTGTATTTTGACATGTTCTCAGTTCAGTTAAAATACTGTTGAACCCTCCAAATCATACTTGAATTATGATAGAATACATACCAGCATTTAAAGCAGGCCACCACTCTAAAAGCATATAGGCTTCTTGACAATTGCTTTAAATCATAAGGAAATAAATGAATAAAATATGTGCTGTTGCACATATTTTAATCCTCAAATCAATACATTTTTCTCCTTAGTGTGGAGGACTGATTCTCTGTTGTGCATGGCGGTAATTCTGTTCACTGCATAAGTAGGTTCAAACAACAGAAATAACAGAAAGAGGTCAACCACATATTTTGGAGTTCTTGGAGTGGAATTTTTTTTAATAAACACCAAAGCTACTAGAAAGCTTATGAGAGCATGCAAAAGACATGGGTATGCCTTTGGTTCTAACAGATTTCCATGATAATACTGAATCAGTGGATCTCCTCTCCAAATGTTTCATTCTTAATACCTTTTTTCACTTAATATATCTTGAAGGTCATTCCATTTAGTACAATTATTGTTTACATTTTTATAGATGTACCATAATTTAATCAGTTCCCTGTTGATCAAAATTTAGGGATTTTTTTGGCCAACATTTTGTTAGTAAAACATTACTGCAATGAATAATTTTGACATACATCATTTTACGAGTGTGCAATTATATCTGAAGGATAAATTTCTAGAGTTGGAATTACCTGGTCAAGGGTGTGTACATTCGTAGTTTTGGTAGAATAGCTGGAGATTCATGTATTGCCATTTTCCCTCCCCACTCCCTAGCAGTTGAGAATTGTTGCAGTATAATGACAGATATTACTGACAATGGGAGAGTATGTTCCACATGTGAATCGTGTGGAGGCAGAAAAAATAGAATCACTGGCCCCCCGACGGCTTTTAGTTAGTATTTTTTATTCATCAAAGAGAGAATCTGCTTGACCAGGCTCGTCATGTCAAGCCCAGCCTCCTCAGGGTCTCCCAAAGTCACTAGCCCAGGCTTATTACCAACTTTGGTTATTACCACCTCAACTAAAGTCCAGTGTGGTGGCTCAGGGTCACCATGAGCCTAGAGCTGCCTCTCTAACAGGGGCTGTTGACTGAACAGGGTCTTATTGGAAGGAGCCTTGGACAGTCAAACATTTGGATTATCATATCTATAAGGGCAAATATAATCCCAGTTTTCCCAGGACAGTCCCCATTATGTGTGTGGCCTGATTACTAATAGCGCTCCCTTTCATATTCATAAGTTTCCAGTTTGGACTATAATTTACTAATATTGCATAAGGTGGGTCAGTTCACACTGTGTTGTAAGGAGCCCTGGAGGTTTGTAAAGGTGCCTAGGGAGAGACATTTAGAGGGGAAAAAGAAGCCAAGCAGGTGGGATTTGGGACACATTGTTACTGTCTAATGTGACTAAGAGAAGTTTAAGCTTATAATAAATGAACAGATTTCCACCTATTAGGAATTAGATGGTTCTTAAACCTTTTAAGTCAGATTAGTTGTTTTCTTTCTACTGATTATACACAATACACACACACACACACACTCACACACACTCTCTCTCTCTATTGGGCATTGTTTTCCTACCAAAATAGAGAATTGAAAATCTATTGAGGTAGTAATCCCTTGACCTCAGCAGATATAATATCCACACTTACCACATATTTGACAATTTAGATGGGGCTAGATCTTGAACTAATGGACCACACATGGCTTTTAGCAAGAGCTTCCCTGGCAGCACTTTCACCTTATACAGTCAGACTAGAGTCTGGTCTAGGTGAGAGAATGGGCAAGAATGACATTTTGAGTTCAGTTCAGAGATGCTTTATTTTATTTACTTCCAAGGCTGCATGTAAGCAGTACAAAGGATAGACATGAGGTAAGGCAGATGCAGCTGTCCATTGCCTCCTTTGTTTTCCAGAGACATCATAAATTTGATGGTCTTGGCAACTGGAGAGAATGAGATGTCTTGGAGGTCAGGGGAGCCCAGAAGTGTGGGCTTACTATCTTTCATACCTCCAGCCACATTAGCAACCAGAAACAACTTATGCTACCATATGAGGCAAAAAGGTTACCCAGCAAGCTGTTTCATTCAGGCTAATGTTCAGATTCCAGATCTTGAAAATGCTTGCTGTGCCTAGCCTGGTGCAATCTCTCCTTATCTACACCTGGGCAGCAGGGTGTAGTTTTCCACTAATTTTGCAGGCAGGCCTGCCCTTGGTCTACCACAAACATATTTAGCCTTTAAGTTCTCAAACAAACACTTGGCCTTTCGAATTAACATGGGCTAAAGGACATCTGTGTTGATTCTGATTGTCTAACTCCTAGTGCCAGGCTTTCCATTTTGCTAATCACTTTGCCTCATCTCTTGCTGATTACTCCTGATTGCAAAAGCCTGGCTCTTCAATTGCTTCCTGATTCTCTTTGTCCTTCAAAACTGTTTCTTCTGTGAAATAATTCATCCCTTACACACATGCAACTGTCATCATTTTCTCTTCACTTAAAATGTTTATTCTCTCCACTTTTGTTTCCATCATAGGCATATGCATCCTCTTCAAACAGTCTTCATAACTCTTCAAACATCCTTAAGCCTTTGTACTTTCTGGACACAATGGAGTTAAGAGTGTTCATAAAGTACCCCAAGATCTATACACAATCATAGCAAACAGGATCAATGACTAAAATGACCACCAACAAATGGTAATGTCATTAGCCTATGCTGAGCAGGACAGATGAACTTTTCCTCTGAAGCATAGTTTTGTGGATACATAAGGAAGTCCATTAATTTAAGCTTCTTAAAAAGAGAGGAGCATTTTTTTTTCTCCGTTTAACCTCTTTCTTCCCTTTCTCGATTTTTCAACTAAAGATGGCTTCAGATCATTTGTGGATTCCAAAGAAACTATTAATGGCTTGGATGACAGGGAAAAAATAAGTAGAATGGAATGAAATTGAAGATGACCTGCTATTTACATAATGAGGAATTAATGTAAATAAAAACACTTTTGTTTTAAACCACTAAAATATCAGGGTCACTTGTTATTGCAGCATAATTTAGCTTGACCTGACTGCTAATCCACCCATTAATTCCAGAAAGCAAAGGGAAAACAGCAATAGGGATGTTTGAGAGGAGAAAAAAAGTCAAAGAGATTGTGACAGCATGAGAGAGGAGATTTAGCTGCCAATTAGACATCAAGAAAGCCTCCAAAGTATATAATACAGGCTCTGATAGGAAGATTAAGGACCAGAGGATCCAAATGGAACAAACCTGCACAGTAACTTTCCTTCAGGAAATAGGAGGATAGTATTATGGACTAAGTGTTCCCCTCCCCAAATTTATATCTTGAAACCTTACTCCCCAGTGTGACAGTATTAGGAGGTGAGGCCTTTGGGAAGTAAAGATTACATGAGCTCATGATGTAAGAGCACTCATGAATGGGATTAGTGCCCTTATAAGGGCCATGAGAGAGCATGCTACTCTCTGCTCTTTCCCATGTGAGGATACAATGAGAAGTCAGCAGTCTACAGCCTAGAGTGACCTCACCAGAAGTCAACCATGTTAGCACCCTGATCTGGGATTTCCAGCCTCCAAAACTGTAAGGAATAAATTTGTACTATTCATATGCCAGCTAGTCTATGGTATTTTTGTCAATAGAAGCCCATACAGACCAACACAGGGAGAAAAAGAATGAATTAAAGAAAAAAACTATCTTATTCTTAGTTGCCTGTAAAGTAGAAATGAAACAGTCTTTTGGGACTAGGACTATGAGAAACTCCCAGGCTTTTCTTTCTTCTGGGCCAAATTTGACCACCTGAGGTATGATTGAAAGCCCCAGATGAAATTCTTAAGGTAGATCACACAAATCTCCATGAGGAAGTGCCATTTCAAATGAGGCATGGAGGTTGTAATTCTGGTCAGGCTACTGTCTGGTCCCAATTTCTATAGTTAATGCAACCTATGTAGAATGCAGGGGTCCCAGCTAGGGAAGCCAAGCCCTCAGATGGTGTACAACACAGGGAAAGGTGCTTTTTAGGGAAGTTTCTTACCTTTTTTATATACTTTATATCAACTGTATTTCTGATCTAGTTGATGTTGGAAGCCAGGAATTTTCTCTCTCGAGCTGAGAGACTTTATATTTAGAGGTGGGATTTTCCCATAGTTTGAGAATTTTGTATTCATTGTTAACATTGTTGCCAATATGGATAACTCCTGCCTGTGACAGGTACAGATTATGAGGTCAGTCACACCAACTTCCTAGGTCTCTAAGATGCATTAGGGCAGTGATTCTGAAATTGTGGTCCTTGGAGCATCAATATCACCTGGAAATTTGTTCCAGCTGCATCCAACACCTACTCAATGTAAAATTCTGTGAGTAGGGTCCAGCAATCTCAGCTTTAACAAGCCCTCCAGGGGATTCTAATGCACACTTAAGTTTGAGAACCACTGCATTATGGGTATCTGTCTGAACAACAAACATGCATTCTTTCTTAAGGCAAGTCTTAATAGCCCAAGGCCAAGACTGGTATTGTTCCACATCCTCCTCAGTTGGCAGCAGGCCTCACTATCTTCATAGTACATCTCAAAATGGAGGAGGCCATAGAAAGGGCTCAGTTCTTCTTATATTGCCGAATTGAGCACCTTAACCAACTCCTCCTGGGCCAATCCAGCTCCGGCCTAAGTCAGCTTTGGGACCCATAGACAACATAACCTTCATTGCTCTTGTATCTCCCTCCATGTAATTTCCACATAAGACTGTTAAGAGGCCTCTGATGAAATCTACCCTGCGAAGCCACTATTATCTCCATTCTATACACATGGAAACTGAGACATGGAGAATCTAGTAATTTGCCACAAAGTTAGTAAGTGATGGAGTTGGGATTTAAATCCAGTAAGTCTAACTTTAGAATCCATTGGGAAATTGTTTGGAACATTCCCAGATGCACACTTTGAAAATGCTACTCTGAGAAATACTGTCTACATTGAGTTGACAGCAAATGTCAAAAGTACCCTGTAGTATCAACCTACTGTCATCAGTCATTTTGTTTTCCAAAATGTGGCAGTTGACCAAAACATTAATTAGTGAAGATATAATCTATTTTTTTTTGAGACAGAGTCTCACTCTGTCACCCAGGCTGGAGTGCAGTAGCTCAATCTCAGCTCACTGCAACCTTCACCTTCTGGGTTCAAGTGATACTCCTGCCTTAGCCACCCGAGTAGCTGGGATTACAGGAGGATTGCGTCACCATGCCCAGCTAATTTTTGTATTGTTAGTAGAGACAGCGTTTCACCATGTTGGCCAGGCTGGTCTCAAACTCCTGACCTCAAAGAGGTGCCTGCCTCGGCCTCCCAAAGTGCTGGGATTACAGGCATGAGCTACTGAACCCAGCATGTCTGATTTCAAGATAGATATTTTATTTTTTTCTTAAACTGTTTGCTCTTCAAACCTAGGGTCAAGATGCCAACCTCCCCCGAAATCCAAGCTCTACTGTAGACATCTCCCTGGGATATCTAATAGACATCTCACACTGAACATGTTCAAACAGAATTCCTCATTCTTCACTCCCAACCTGTTCTTCCCCGGTCTTCTCTTCTCAGTACACACCATAGTAGTCAAGTCAAATCCTAACAGTCTTTTTAAAATTCCTTACTTACCTCTTTCTCCTATATCTACTTCATCAGCCAGTCATAGTGATTCTACTTCCAAAATATATTCTGAATCTATCTGCTTTTTCCCATTTCTACTGCTGTCACCTCGTCTAAGCCACCATTCGGCTCTCAACTGTTCTTCCCATGTTTACTACCTGAAATGGTTTGGCTGTGTCCCCACCCAGATCTCATCTTGAATTGTAGCCCCCATAATCCCAACATGTCATGAGAAGGATGGGTGGGAGGTAATTGAGTAATGGGGGCAGGTTTTTCCCATGCCGTTCTCCTGATAGTGAATAAGTCTCACAAGATCTGATAGTTTTAGAAAGGGGAGTTCCCCTGCACATGCTCTCTTGCCTGCCACCATGTAAGACGTGCCTTTGCTCTTCCTTCACCTTCCGCCATGATTGTGAGGCCTCCCCAGCCATGTGGAACTGTGAGTCCATTTAACCTCTTTTTCTTTGTAAATTACCCAGTCTCAGGTATGTCTTTATTAGCAGCGTAAGAACAGACTAATACACTATCCTACCTCCTAAAATCCATTTTACACACATATTCTGAGTAAACTTTTAAAAATATACATTGACTTATATGTATCTCCTCTTTAAATCCTTCAGGAGCCCCCTCTTATTACGTTTGGAATAAAACCCAAGTGCCTTCCCTGACCCACAGTGGCCTCACAGGATCCAGCCCCTGACTATTCCTTGGCCTTACCTCCTCCACACTCACCCTTGCTTACCCCTCTTTAGCCACCTGACCTTCTTCTGTTCTTCAAACAGGACAAGCTCATTGCTACCTCAGGGTAGCAGTACTGCTTCCTCTTCCTGAAAATGTCTTTCTTGGGATTTTGGCTGACTGACCAACATATCGCCGTCAGTTCTCAGAGCAAATGTCATTTCTTAAAAACCTAATCCCTAATCACCCTATTTAAAGTAGTGCATTCCCACCCCACCATAGTACCCACTTACTGCCTTCATAGTGAATGGGATCAGAGCTGCTTTGACATATTAACCATTTGATCTAAAGGTAATCGAGAGACAGCAGATGCAAAAGGCTCTCTGCCTTTTTTTTTTTTTTTTTTTTTTTTTTCCAGAAAAAATGTCTTCCTGATATTCCTGGTACCAGGAAGAAAAGAACATTCTTGTTACCAGAGATGAGGCGTTGACACTGAGATGAGTGTGCACAAGGAATAAAATTTAAGAATGACCCTTAAATTGTATTAGTTTCACCCATATATTTCCTAGTCATGTTCCCGTAGTTTACCACCCCTATGAACCAAAACCCCTTTCCTTTGTCTAGTTTCTTTTCCACAATTTATTGCCCTTTGTTTATATGGTATATAATCCCTGAGTCCAACTGCTTCTTTGGGATTTTCATGTCTTTCTCGTGAAGCTGCCATACCATGTCACACTATTAACATCAAATAAAATGTGTATGCTTTTCTTCAGTGAATTCACAGTTTTCAGGTACAGAAACTAAAAGAGTAGAGGAAAATTTTTTCCTCCCCTACAGTTGCAGTTATCTATCAGAATTTATATTGCTTATTCTTTTACTCACTCTTTTGTTTAATATCCTCCCCATGAAAATGTAAGCTCAATGAAAGTAAGAGGATTATTTTTCACCACCGTATCTATAGGCCCGGCATATAGTAAGTATTCAATAAATAGTTGTTAAATGATTGAATCTGCACAGAGGTGATATGATTTAAGCCCCAAGGAGGCTGAGATATCTGAGAGAGAGAATGTCAACAGAAGAGCCCCACTAACTGACCACTATTGATATAATAATTTTAGGTCCCAAATATAGGCCAAGGTGCCACATTACATGAGCATCTACTAAATGCAATTGATCTTCTAAATGAATTGATCTTCTTGTTTAAAGAAAAGGAAGACAACTGTGAAGGTTTGAAGGAAGGCAAAGTGAACTACCAGAAAAAGGCATTGTGAATAGCACACAGCAGGAGTCTAAAAGTAGAACAAATATCAAAGAAATAAATTCAAAGAATAAAATCCTGATTTTAAAAAGCAGTTTTAACATAGACTCCTCAGAAAGGAAAGGGGAAGGGGCTGGGGGGCAGAAATTAGATAGTAAGGCACAATATCTGTTCAGCAGTGGATTCAAATGGAAACTTCCACCAAATAGTATATATGCATCTGTTTGTTGGGGAGAAGAATAGTCAAAAGCATATTTTATTACATACAAAGTAAAAGAAAGCAAGTGTGAAGCAGTGGCATTGCTAAGTTGACAGTGATAACAGTCCTCTAGTAATAGTGGGTTTACCCAGTTCCATCACAGCCTCTTATATAGTCCATGATGGCCTCTTCAAGTTTCATGTGCTACCTGGCATTTCCCATGAAAAGCCTACTGTGGTTGATCTGGTGTGCTGTTACTATGGTAAGAAATTAAAATGAATAGATATTTATAGTTTATATAGTACCACAGTGATACTTCTCCCCTGCAATCAATAGTTTATTAGCCAGAAGTGTCTATCAAGTGTTTGTATAGTGATATATCAAAGCAGAAAACCAACTTTTTAAAAAACATGAACTTTTGAAAATGTAACAGATGTTACTCACACATGCTTTGATACAACAGAAGAACTTTTTAAAGTGACCTATAAATATAGAGGCTGTCTTAAATAATCATAATATAATTTTTTACCATTTATGTCTCATATTTTCCCACTTATGGCTAATATAAGAAATACATTTTTGTGATTCTTTTTGAGAATTAGTTTTTTAAAAAATATCATAAGAGAAATTATAAATGGAAAATTATGCAAACATAAATTTGATGAGAAGTACTCACCTTGTCAAAATAGGCCTGTGATTTAAAAAAAAATGAATTTGAAGAGATTTTTAATTGCATCATCTTTCTGTATAATCCATTTCCACATCATTTGATGGCACTGATGTCAGTTTTTCATCACTGTAGTGGCTGAGACACATTAGAATAAGACAGCCCTGGATTCGTATTCCAGCTCTAACATGTCCTTCCTGGGTGGGTCACTTAATCTCTCTGAGCTAAGCTTTTTTCATCTATAAAATTGGGGTCATAGGATTATTATTGTAAAGATAAAATGAGATAATGTATATAAAACATCTGGCATAAAGTAATGTGCAGTGCAGTCACAGTAATTATTAATTAAATTCATCAACAAATATTCTGTGCCTTTGTTCTAGGTTCTGGGAATGTGCATCAGGGCTGCCTGTGGATTATAAAGGTTGTACATGAAGCAAATCCACAGGCCACTGTTTGCAACAGTGCACCCTGGAGCTAGCAGGGCACAGTCTAGAGGTCATATTTATAGCCCTAACAGTGGAAAGTAGAATGGGTAAAGTTTATACTCTAACGAAAAAAATAACATTTATTATTATGACTTCACACTATCAACACCCTAACATTCAATATAATAATAATTAGTGAATCAGTAAGTACTAATTAAGCACTTGGCAAATATTCAATGATGTTCTAAGTGAGGTAGGCAATGTGGAAGTTAGAGGGTGCCTTATTTCTGCAATTAAGTAGTTTAAAAATCTAGTTAGGCAGTCAAGATACATGAAATGGAGACAAAATATATTTAAGTCCTAATTTGCATGATATAATTAGGTATAGGCAGACCTCACTTTTGCACAGGATCATGAAAAAGACTGCAAGCAGAAGCCATGGGAAGTGATCTTAATAATCAGTGGGACATGATTATTCCATGTCCCTGACAAATTTTTGAGAAAACATTAAAAACTCTCTTACAGTCATTACAAATGTGTAAAGAAATGAAAAAATAGTAAAAATTAACATTTAATATACTATAAAACATTAGAAACATTGAGGATCAAAGTATTTTACTTTTTTGTAAAAAACTCATCAAGAGTAGTTTCAATAGTATTTGCCTTCTTCTCATTGTATAACTTACCATATCTTTTCTATGCCTTGGCGAATTTTATGTACCTTTCTAGGTTTAAATCAGCTTCCAACAATTTATCCTTTGCATTTTTTATGTCATGAAATATCTTCTAGAGTTTCTTTCTTTTTTTTTTTTTTTTTTTTTTTTGAGATGGAGTCTCGCTCTGTCACCCAGGCTGGAATGCAATGCTGCAATCTTGGCTCACTGCAACCTCTGCCTGCCTCAGCCTCCTGAGTAGCTGGGATTACAGGCACCCACCACCAAGCCTGGCTAATTTTTGTATTTTTAGTAGAGATGGGGTTTCATCATGTTGGCCAGGCTGGTCTCGAACTCCTGACCTCAGGTGATCCACCCACCTCAGCCTCCCAAAGTGCTAGGATTACAGGCGTGAGCCACCACGCCTGGCCTCCTAGAGTTTCTTTAATGTGAAATATCTTCCTGGAATCACTTCCTCTGGGACATTGTCATCCTTTTCATCACAACCACTTTACTCACTGATGTTGATGAGTTCCTCTGGCTGCATATCTAGAAGCTCTGAAACCCCAGCAGTGTCAACATTGCCACAGTCAGCATTTTCTTCTATAACTCCATTTACATTGGATTCAAATTTCACTTCCAGCACTTTCACTTTTCATTTCTTTGCTGTACTTCCATCTTTGTTAGTCAGTTCACTTTTTTGATTACCCATTTTTAGAAAATGTTACAGGGGTTAATCACTGGTTGACAAGAAGACAACACAGCTGTACACTTTGCTCTCTGGGGGTAAACTGAATAACAGATGTGCAGTGACCAATCACACACTATTCTGAAGGAAGTGATGTAATTGGTCATGGATCATGATATGTGTCTGTTATTTACTTAGTGATTTGTCAAGAGCTAGGAGCAAACTTTGTACTTTATATGATTACTTACAGTTAATATACCATGGTAACTGAAACTTGAGCTGTGTTAATGGAGGACTAGTATTATTTAATTAAAATGTGGTAACTGAAATTCATGCATATCAGAACTATGCAAAGAGAGGATTGCCTATACTACATTCTCTTAGTTTTTAGCATATATCAATGGAAAATATGTTCTCTTGATGGAAAGCCATTTTATACATTATGACTGAATGGGTTAAACATGATAGATTAATCAGGGTAATATATCAAAATGAAGTATTAAACATGTACATACATACATAACGTAACATACATAAAGCCAATAAATGTCTACTAAATCAAAGCATTAGCACACCTCATAGATAATTGCATGGCACCACAGGCCAAAGTACTGTAATGCTTTTTGTGTTTTCTGATATTTTAGTCCTTCTTTTTCCTCCTTTATTTTTTGCCTTTTCTTCTACTGAAATTCAGGTCAAATGAAATGCAATACAGTTTACCAAAAATAGCAACACAGTACCTAACTTTCATTAAAGTATTTCTCTATCTCCATACTACATTTTTACCCTTCTGTCTACCTATCTTCTCATTTACATATATGCGGAGAAAGAATCTGGATACGGTTTTTTTTTGTTTGTTTTTGAGATGGAGTCTCATTCTGTCGCCAGGCTGAAGTGCAGTGACACAATCTCAGCTCACTACAACCTCCACCTCTCAGGTTCAAGCAATTCTGCCTCAGCCTCCTGAGTAGCTGGGACTACAGGCACACGCCACCATGCCCAGCTGATTTTTGTGTTTTTAGTAGAGACGGGGTTTCACTATGTTGGCCAGGGTAGTCTTGATCTTTTGACCTCGTGATCCTCCTGCCTTGGCCTCCCAAAGTGCTGGGATTACAGGTGTGAGCTACTGCATCCAGTTGGATAAGTTTTTATACTCTTAATGATATGTGGTAAAAAGTGAGATTTTTTTTCGTGTTCAGATTTGTATTGTTTTAATTCTTGATGATGAGCACTGGTGAACATATTTAATGTTACAAAAACAATACTAGTAATTTTCCCAAAAAACAAACACAAAAGTGGAAGCATTTTAAAAACAGTTCAGAGAAATTCCTTTAGAATTTTTCAGAATGGTATAATTTTCTCAGAATTTTTTCAGGGAATGCACCATGTGGCATTTTGAATGGCAAAATTGGTCCTTGCTCTTTTTCTCTATTCTCATTTTACCGTGCTGATTCTTACTATTATTGTTTTGAGACAGGGACTCACTCTGTCATCCAGGCTGGAGTGCACTGGCATGATCTTGGCTCACTGCAGCCTCCACCTCCTGGGCTCAAGGGATCCTTCCACCTCACACTCCCAAGTAGCTGGGGCTACAGGAATACACCACCATGCCTGGCTTTTTTTTATTATTATTATTTGTAGAGATGGGGTTTCTCCACATTGCCCAGGCTGGTCTCGAACTCGTGACCTCAAGTGCTGAGATTACAGGCATGAGCCACCACGCCTGGCTTTTGATTCTTATTTTTAAGAGGAACTGACAATAGTCAAGGGTCTTCCTATAAAACAATCAACTGTTTTGTTCCTTAAATGATCTCCTGCTCTATGCTATGCTAAAACAGTTATTCCTCTACTATTAAAGGTCTTATCAAATTTTATTTTTGTTGAAAGATAAAATTAATGCTTTTCTATGGTTAAAGTAAAGAGCTGTTTGTTTTTTTAAGTCTGGCTGAAGTTTTGTTTAGTTTGATTTGTAAACTCAGAGCCTTCAAGTTCAGGACTATCAGCCTTAGACTGTGTAGGGAGGCTAGAGAATCCAGGAAAAGACTCAAATTTACATTCAGACATTGAGTAATCATCAATAGTAAGTAAAGATTACAGAGAATCCATTCAACTGAGTGTAAATTTTAAGTGTCTTTAAATTTTGTTTCAAATAACACTTTCTTACAATAAAACATATTAGTGTTTATTACATTGATAAATAATAGCTGTCTGTTTCCAGCAAGCTGTTTTTTTCCAGCGCTGAGTTCACAAAGGGGCTTTGTTCTTTTTTCCTTGACTGAACAGACCAATTTAAAAAATAAAACAGAATAAACACCTAGCGACACTGAACTCTCACCCTTGCTGTGGATATATTTAGGATTTTTTTCTTTTTTTTACTTCTTTCTCTTCCTTTCCATTACCTTCTGGGAGTTAAACCTCTTGTTAGCTTCCATTTTTATTGATACAAAGAGTAGTTCCAAACCTCTCTGCTGCCTTGACCTGTCACCCCCAAGGCCTCTAATTTTATATTTCTAATTGCTTGTAATACATGTCTTGTGATTCCCTAAAAGTTTACATCTTGATAGTTCTCTCTCATCTTAGTCATTAAGGCCACTTCCTAAAATGGCCTCCCAGCACTGAAACGTGCATGTTTCTCTCAACAGTTTTTTTATTTCATTTGTTCCAACTTATATCCATTCATTCTGTTTAGTGTTTATGATACTTCCTCCTCTTCATTTCCACCACTCCTGACTGAATTATAATCCTCCCTTATACCTGGGCATCTACACCAGGGTTCACCCAGAGCTCCTGACCCCAACCCATTCTGCACTCAGTAAACAGAAGAGACTCATTCACCATTTTCATTCTTGTTCTGCCCACTGAAATCTATAGCATCTCCCAGAAATTGACTATATTCCGTCAGCTTCAATTCAAGGATCTCTATTATCTACTTCCTTTTCTTATCAAATAATGCTACTTTCTTGTTGGAAACTCTCCATTTATAATCAACTTATACTGCTTCCCTGTAGGAAACCTCATTTCATTCCAGACTTTTTACCCAGGCCTAAGAAGTGTCTGCCTGTCTTTCTGACCTCATTTCCTGCCATCTTCACCACAGCTCACTCTGCTGTAGCCATGCTCTGTTCTTCCTGTCCCTTCCTAGCCAGGCCCTGTGTGCTAGCTTCTCTCTTGCCTTGAGAGCTCTTCACATGGGTCATTGCATGACTTCTCCTCTGTTGGGACTCAGTCCAAATGCCATCTCCTCAGCGAGGCCTTCCCTGACAATCCTGTCTAATATTGTACACGTACAGCCACTACTGTCACATTTCTTAGTTGTATTTTATTCATAGTACTTCATATTATTTTTCACTTGCTTATTATCTATCTGTGCCACTAGAATAAATAGCCTACAAGGGCCTAGAATTTGGCTTTCTTACTGGCTGCTGTATTCCTAAGACCTAGAACAGTGCCTGACACGCAGAACCCAATAAATATTTGTTGAATGAATTATGCTGACATAATTTTTACTCTCCGATTAAGCCAACAAATTCTCTGTGATGTCTTGCATATTTATTTGCCAATCCTTAGACATGTGTTTTCTTCTACTGAATTCCGTTCACTCTTTCTTTTTGTCAATTTTTATTAGTCACTTTCTTCAAAATCTAGCTCAAATACCACTTAAAAAAAGGCCTTCTCAAATTCTTCCTGCCATGAGCATTATATTACTTCTCTTCCCCACAGGATTTACCCCTGTAGTTTTCATTATATTATCTTGTGCTTTAATTTATTTTTAACATGTTGCTTTATAACACAGTGTTTTTCTTTTTGAGTCATCTAGTTATTTTCTTGTTGAGAGAGGATATAGTTATGTGAAAAAAGCTTTGGACTGGGAGTCCTGGCAAATAATTTCAGACTTTGGACAGACCATTTTCAACATCTGTAAAATCAAGGGGTTAGGCCTTTCATTTGCAGACCAGAGGTTGCAAAATGGCAGGCCACAGATTGTGTTACTGAGCCAAACTTTGGTTGGCCTGCCCGGTGCAGCAAAGCCAAACGCTGACATTGAGATTTGCAGTGAAAGAAAATAAGGCATTTATTGCAGGGTGCCAAGCAGGGAGAATTGGGAAGCTCATGATTAAGACCTGAACTCCCCGATGGCTTGCATGTAGGGGTTTTTAAAGGCAGGAAGGCAGAGGTTTTAAGTAAAGTCATGAATCAACACATAAAGGCTATACTTTGGTTTGACCTAAAAAGGACGGACATCTCAAAGCAGGGGCCCACTGGTCATAGGTAGATTCAAAGATTTTCTGATTTTTTTTGGTTAAGAAGGTGAAGCTTTGTCTAACAATTTGGAGCCCGCAGAAAGGAATGTTGAGCCTGTGGATGTGACTTCCTCCAGGCTCCTCAGAAAGAAATTTAGAACAAAGAACAGAGGTCATAGTTCAGTCCTCAGTTCCCCCTTATCTGAAGTCTACATGTCAGCAGACAGCATTTTCAATTTAATAGTGTCCAAGTTTCTGAAAAATAACTCAGGGACATATGTTAGGGTGTTATTAGTATCTTTAGTTTCTATAGGGAATCAAACATCTAATGAATAACTTTCTTGGCTGTTGTTTTAAGCTACTGTTACCTTATTGCTTATCAAGTTGCTCATTTCCTTTTTTTTTTGTTAAGACAGTCTTGCTTTGTCACCCAGGCTGGAGTGCAGTGGCGCAATCTTGGCTCACTGCAGCTTTCATCTCCCAGGTTCAAGCAATTCTCCTGCCTCAGCCTCCCAAGTAGCTGGGACTACAGGTGCATGCCACCATGCCCAGCTAATTTTTTGTGTTTTTAGTAGAGACAGTTTCACCATGTGGGGCAGACTGGTCTTGAACTCCTGATTTCAGGTGATCCGCCCGCCTCGGCCTCCCAAAGTGCTGGGATTACAGGCGTGAGCCACTGCGCCAGGGCTAAATTGCTCATTTACTTCTGGAGGCTCGCTAGGTGCTTGGAATTTCCCTTGAAGGAACTCAAGATTTTCCTTTATTTCCATGCTTGGAGCGCATGGTGAGAGGTGCCCAGCAGACTCTTAAGAGGGTTCCTGCTCTGTCTTAGTTGGATAAGGCCCACCTATGTGTTTCATTCAGACTTAGTAAAACTCAAATTAGTTGACAATGTTTAAAAATTGAGAAATTTTGGAAAGCTTGGAATTATATACACTCTGAAAAAGATCAGAATAGACCCACATTTTGGGGTGGCAGAAAGCTCATTGAGAAAGAAAGCAGCTGTCCCTTAACATCAGGTGTAGACACCAACATGATATGATGCTCAACTTGTTCGGATATTTCACTTGTTTCTGTTAACTCTGTGTTGGAATTTCAATATGCAAACTCAAGATTGTATTACCTCTGAGGTACCTTCCAACTCTACATATCTGTGATTTTGGATAAACATGTTTTACCTGTCTACTCAAACTTAATGTTCTTCAAGGGCAGTGCCTGGTGCTTCTCCTTTGCTTCTCAGGTTATAGTGCTGGTCATAAAGCAGGTGCTTAGTACTTGTTTGTTTAGAATTAAATTTAGTTATATCCACAAATATGTAATAAAAAACAAGTACTACCTAATAAAAATTTATTACAGATGTTTCGTTGGCTTTTTTAAAGAAAGACATCCTATCAAAATGGAATTAAAATACTAACGCAGCATTTATATCATATGGAAATCTAACTCTAGACAGATATCAACCAAATGAAGTTTCATTTAGGCAACAGAAAAGAAATGTAGTCCTTTAGTCTCCTTTCTCTGTAACTCCCATTAATTGTTTATTGTAGTTATGCATGCATATCAAGAGCAGAATGTACTCCAGGGATGGAAAAAATATTGCTATTTGTTCTCCCAAATAGTGATCATATGTTCAACAGCTGGGACTTACTGAGATCTGCATTTATTTCAATACCAATAACTACCTTTTCTGTATTCCCAGAAAACCACAAAATATTTGGCATGGTTTGGGCCCACTATATCTAATTTAAAAAAACTCATTGTTCTTTTGCAATGATTGATTAACTTTTAAAGAGAACACATTTCACTGAGATAGTTTACATGGATTAACAGCAATAGCTAAAAGATTCCACACCCAAGTTGGGCCATGTCTGGGACACCAAAGTGAATGGAAGTCTTGGGTTCATGACTGAGGGCAGACTTACCACCAGTGTTGTCAAAGCCTATAGTCTGAACACTTTCTTCTCTGTCTTTCCATTTTCTATTATAAAGAGTACTCAGAAATTACCTAAGTATTTAATTTCAAAAAAAATTGCATTTCTCAAAAACTCTGTAAAATAACAAAGGACATAGCTGATACCAGAATAAATCTTTTTTGTGAAGTTTGGATAACTGAGATTTGAAAAACATTTTAGAAATTTACATTTATTTAGAACATTATATTTTAAAGAATTAAAACACAAGCTGGTTAGAAATTTTAACATTTACAATAAAACAATTTGGATATTTTTAATCTCTAATTTTTTTATTATTTCTGCAGGGATTGAAGTGTACTTTTATGCTATCTGTAAAAAAAATGCTTAATAAGTAAATAAACATTTTAAGTAATAGTTGAAAAACATTTACTTACCAGAGAAAATAATTTGTTTTCCAACACTTCAGTTTTCTTTTATTTATAAAACACTCTATTCAAAATGAAGGTATGTTAGTCAGGGTTCCCTAGAGGTACAGAATTAATAGGATATATATAATGGGTAGTCTAGTAAGTATTAACTTACACAATTACGAAGTCCCACAATAGGCTTGTCTGCAAGCTTGAGGAGCAAGGGGAGCCAGTCCGAGTCTTAAAACTGAAGAACTTGGAGTCCCATGCTTGAGGGCAGGAAACATCGAGCACAGGAGAAAGATGCAGGCTAGAAGGCTAGGCCAGTCTTGCATTTTCACGTTTTTCTGCCTGCTTTATATTCAGTGGCAGCTGATTAGATTGTGCCCACCAGATTAATGGTGGGTCTGCCTTCCCCAGCCCACTGACTGTTGCCAAATGTTAATCTCCTTTGGCAACACCCTCACAGACACATCTAGGATCAATACTTTGCATCCTTCGATCCAATCAAGTTGACAGTCAGTATTAACCATCATAGAAAGCAAGACAAGAACTTCTTAGATATGCTAATCATTTTTATCTATTTACTAAGTCTGGGCCCGAACTGCCAGCACTTGTTAGTCATTTTCTGGTTACTGTATGTCCTTGAAACTAATAAAACTGCATTTCCTTTGAATGCAGTTGGTCCAGATCGTAACTTTTCCCATATGTATTTATTTTTGGGGTTTGGATCATTTTCATCTTCCATTGATTTTCAAACTATTGCAAATTACACAGTTTACATGTTAAAGAGATCAAGTTGTATAGTAGAAGAAATCTTTCTGCAAGCTATGTGACATTAACCTTGCTGAGCTTTAGTAACCTTGCTCATTTGTAAAATGGAGATAATAATAGTACCTATTTCCTAGGAATGTAGAGGAGATGAATAGAGATAAGGCAAGCATTCTGCTAGTAAACAAGGTCCACATTATCACCATCATTCCCAATATGTTTTGAAGATTCTATGTAATTAACTATGCATTTTCTAATTTATACTGAATTATTCTCATTTTGCAGATGAAGACACAGGTTCAGAGAATTAGGAAGCTTGCTCAAGATCATACATGTTGAAGAACCAGCCTCCTCAGCTGCTTCTGATTGTAAACTAGCTGTGATCAGGGCACCACTCTGTTACAAAAGCAGTCTTAGAAATTAACCAGCACAAAGATCATCCATGACTAGTGAGTGCAGTTCTGAGACTGGTTTTCATATATGCCTGTAGGATCAGTCTCACTATTTTGAGGTTGTACCCTGGGCAGGGAACATGAGTCATTGCCTACCCATCCACTCCTCCACACTCTGACTGTCTCTGTTATGAATTAAGTCCTAAGAATTCTTATCTCATTACTCCCCATGGGGTTTCAGCAGCAGTCATCTCTGACTTGTATTTTCACCCTGCTAGTTAATTGCTTTCTTAGACTTTTCTATTCTGCTGTTCGATGGTAGCTCAGCAAGTGACTTTTCATCATTATAGAATAGGAAAAAATTGTTTGGGTTGTGGATTGGTTTACAGATGCTGCACTTTCCAATTCCTACCACACCATGACCCTGTAACCTGCTGGGAAGATGTAGCCCTAAGTGCAAAAGAAGCTCCCCACAAAATGTTATTTTCCTAGGTCCTTTTCCCAACCACATGGAGCAGATAAATGGAAGGAGAGGCATGTTGGTGGTGGTGATGATGGTGGTACAATTTTCCCTCAGTATCCACAGGGAATTGGTTCTAGGAAGCACCTCCCCAACACCAAAATCTGCGATGCTCAAGTCCCTTATGTAAAATAATATAGTGTTTGCATATAATCGACCCATATACTCCCATATACTTTAAATCATCTCTAGTTTACTTATAATGCCTAATACAATGTAAGTGCTATGTAAGTAGTTGTTATACTGTATTTTTTTACTTGTATTGTTGCATTGTTATTTTTTATTTTTCAAATATTTTCCATCAGTGGTTGGTTGAAACCATGGATGTGGCACTTGTGGATATGGAAGACCGCCTATAATAGTAACAATTATGGTAGTAGTAATGCTGGTGATGGTGTTGGTAACAGTGGTGGTGAGTAACGGTGTTGGAGAAATTTTTTCCACTCACGTGGAACCTCGCACCAGTCTACTCTCTGATAATTTGGATGTATCTCATAAATGGTATCTCAGTTTTCTTCAAGTTGTATATAGGTCTTCATATTTTTTTTTCTTTTAAAGTTTAAAACATCTACCATTCGGTCTAAAATAAATGCTTTTAATTTAAGGCCAGGGAATTCCACACCCTGACCAAGCTTAACTCACAGATCCTGTAAGTGCTTTCTGAGGCCCAACAAAGTGGGTTTCAAGATAACACAACTGCCCTGCCTGGTAGCAGAAGGTGTTTTAAGTGTGCCATGTGTCTGGCCTCAGAAGAGGCAAGCCACAGCACAGAGCAGGATAAGCCTTTGTGGGGCCTCAGAAAGCACTTACAGGATCTGTGAGTTAAGCTTGGTCAGGGTGTGGAACAGAATTTCCTGGGCTCTTTTAAGGTATGGTCTGGTCTTGCAGTCTATACTCTCAGGCTCTCTGTAGCCTCCTTCCTTTATCAGTGAAATGGAGGAATGCAACTCTGGACCTCTACTTCTCCTTTCTCTCCTAAGGGGCCAGAGACTGCCTAAACCCCACACAATAAAACTCACAGATCCCTCTGGGAGGCTGAGGCAGGTGGATCACCTGAGGTGAGGAGTTTGAGACCAGCCTGACCACCATGGTGAAACCCCATCTCTACTAAAAAATACAAAAATTAGCCGGGCATGGTGGCAGGCGCCTGTAATCCCAGCTACTCGGGAGGCTGAGGCAGGAGAATTGCTTGAACCCAGGAGGCGGAGGTTGCAGTGAGCTGAGATCACGCCGTTGCACTCCAGCAACGGGCGACAGAGCAAGACTCCATCTCAAAAAATAAATAAATAAATAAATAAACACCTCACAGATCCTTTGCTCGAGGTGTGGTTAAAAGAACAAAATTATTATAATTACTAGGCGAAACTTTAGTCACTCTGCATCACATCTTCCCCTACATGTGCACCCATGTGCGTGTCTGTTTCCAAGAAAAGGTGACTGTGGAAATAGGAAAAGACTTCTGCTGAAATGCTGAATGTTATACTGTTTTCTTGGGCCCATCTTAATAATCATCTACAAAGCTGCAATTTTGGCAATATGAGCTGGCGGCCTGACCTAACATCATTGTACTTTGGATCACTGAAGTGTCTCCTCACATGCCAAAACCTGCTGCACTTTCTTCCTACTTCGTTGCGGCCTTCATCAACCTTGTCCACCTCTTTCAGTCACCTGAGTCTCTACGTGCACTGTTCAGTATGGCAGCCATGAGCCAATGTGGCCACCAAGTATGAAGAAGGGAGCCTTCTGAATTGAATGTAAAATGTACACTGGCTTTCCAAGACTTAGCATGAAAAAAAAAATGTGGAATAACTCAATAATCTTTGATATTGCTTGCAGGTTGAAATGATAATATTTTGGATATAGTGATTTAAATAAAATATATTATTAAAATTAATTTTACCTGTTTCTTTTTACTTTTTAAAGTGTGACTACTAGAAAGTTTAAAATTGCAAATGTGGCTTGCATTTGGAACTCACATTATATTTCTATTCCGTACTGCTAGTCTAAATAGTTTGCAGTCCTTTGCACTGTTGTGATCTGTTTAAGGAAAATCATCCTTGGACAATACTGTCTAAAAGTTTTTAATTTTTTAATATAAATATCAAATAGTTTTAAGTGGCATATCAGCTAGATTCTGAATTTTAAATCTTCTTTTTTTAAAAAAAGAATGAATGTATGTGTCCAAAACAAAGGCAGTAGCACTGGAAATTCAAATCTGTTAAATCATAGCATAGATAATGGGACAAGCTACAGCAGTACTGGGACACATAATAAAAGCAATGGTTCTTAACCTATTTTAGTGTCACAGACCCATATTATTTATTGAACAAATATTTATCATGTGCCTACTGTCTTCAAGACTGTGATAGGCTCTGTAAATATAGCTGATAAACCTGATACAAGTTTTAGATCCTCTCCCCAGAAAAATGCATATACACATATACTTACAGATTTGCACCGAATTTTAGGCTCTTGAGAATATTCTGAGGCCCATTTAGGAATTCTAGATTGACAATTTCTAAATTTGAGAAAAGAGCTTGGGCTTTATGGCCAGACAGATCTAGACTTGAATGCAGCTCCACTAGCTACCAGAGTGACCTTAGACTGTTACTTATGTTCTTTAAGTCCCAATTTCCTCATCTATAAGATGAGGGGATATGGAACAAATTGTGAGGTATTTTAAGGATTAGCATTAACATATAGAAAGATATTTCTTGTTCAGACTAGGTGCTTAATAGATCATAACTATTCTCATCTTTATGTCAGGAGGTAGCTCAAAAGGGAAGTTAGAGGACAGATTCTTTATATCTGAATTTTCGGAGTCAAGGTTTTAAATTCTATAGTAACCCTAGAGATTAGTTGTTGAACAAAAATAGGTTTTGATTCTTCAACCACATCATGACCTTTTAAATAAGATGTCCAAAACTGGTATGTGAGTGGTCTGGGGTAAGAGCACATCTGCCCATGCCTTAAGAGATATTATGTGGCATGTACATATGTTTTTCTGTGGTTTGAAAACAAATTTGTGTCTGCAAATCTTAAAGATAGGTTCTGTTTTGGAAGGGATTTTGTTTCTTTGCTTGCTTTATAAAGGCTGTCCTGGTACGTATACATTTCTTTTCTGTTTTTGTTTTTTTGAGACGGAGTCTCGCTCTGTCGCCCAGGCTGGAGTAGAGTGGCGCGATCTCGGCTCACTGCA
Organism: Homo sapiens; assembly: GCF_000001405.40. Lineage (NCBI taxonomy): Eukaryota > Metazoa > Chordata > Mammalia > Primates > Hominidae > Homo > Homo sapiens. Next base: position 156,784,819 of record NC_000003.12, on the reverse strand, counting down.
AGCTCCGCCTCTCGGGTTCACGCCATTTTCCTGCCTCAGCCTCCGAAGTAGCTGAGATTACAGGTTCCCGCCACCACGCCCGGCTAATTTTTTGTATTTTTAGTAGAGGTGGGGTTTCACCGAGTTAGCTAGGATGGTCTCAATCTCCCGACCGGGTGATCCGCCCGCCTCGGCCTCCTGAAGTGCTGGGATTACAGGCGTGAGCCACCGCGCCCGGCCACGTATACATTTCTTATTGGCAATTTCCAGCAGGAATATGGCAAACTTTAGGATAAAAGTAGCCTTAAATGAATAAGAACTTGGGCTAAGAAGCCAAAAGCCATGCTATTCCTATACTGCTTGTTCTTCCAGTGCCAAACTCTGGAATAATCCATCCTCCAAATCATTAAGTTAAAGGTAGAGTGACTCACCAACTCTCAGGAGGTGAGGGTAAACCAGACTTGTCATAATTTTATAGGCTCCTCTTTCCACTCACGAAAACAAGTTATGTGTGGCATTTACGTACATCCGTGTTGCTGGGCATTTTCCAAATGCCTCTTGGAGAACATTAAACAGGAAATTGATGCCACAGGGCAAATATTCATTCTTCCCATCCTCTCACAAAAACAAGTACAGATTTGCTGTGGCTAGACTGACTTCCTGCATTGTGCTGTTACTTATTCAATGTTACACTAGAAGAAAAAAAAAAGTACATTCTCCATTTCAATTTAGAGCATGTTGAAAATGGCCAAAATGTATAAACAAAAAAGCTTCCCTCCTGAGAGCACAGAAGTATAGATTTCTATGCTTTATAAAATCACAAAATCCAAAGGTTAATGATTGCTTTTCATGCGTATTGATGAAAGTCAATTTCTGTTACAGTAGACACACCAAATTTGGTTTAAACAATATGTGCTCTAGTTTTCAAATGACAAAGTCTGTAAGCATTTGGACACTGCAGCTTTACATATAAGGATGGCATCTTCTTCTAACCTGTAATAGTGGTCTTTGTTAGTGGCACCTCCTCAGTATCCATTTCTCCCCATTCACTTTATCAGCCCATAAACTGTTTTGCGATCCATGGGGTTTTAGGACAACTGAATCCACCTTCAGCCCCAGAATGGCTAATGTGCCTTAGGTTAAACTCTCCAATATATTATCTCCTCTAGCTAGAGATTTGTTCCAAGGGAATGTGTAACCTAAGTTCATCCAATCAAAGTAAATCTAGAGGTTTTTGCTGGGAAGAAGTTATGCTTTCTTTCCTGATAGACAAGAGCACTGAATCAATTGGCAGTTATCTTAGGATCATGATGAGTAGCAGCATTAAAATAAAGTAATTACTATGAAGAACAGAACAGAGAAACAATTGGAAGAAACCAGGCCCTAGATGCCATCATTTTGCTGCTGGATCAAGCTTTACCTGAAAATGTATCACTGGACCATTTAGTAATATAAACCATTAACTTTCCAATATTACTTAAAACCAGCTTGATTCAGGTTTTCTGTAATTTGCAACTAAAGCTTTGTAACTACTATACCTATCTGTTGGAAGAGATTTAGAAAAGAAAGGATGAGAAAAGGATGAGGGGAAAAAAATGTCTCAAGTGCCTTTAATGCCAGTGCTCTTTTCTATCAGGAAAGAAAGCATAACTTTTCCTCAGCAAAAACCTCTAGATTTACTTTGATTTGATGAGTAACCACCATAGTCATGTGAGGTGGGAGAAAAGTGAATCCATGTACTTCTTCCTGGGTCTAGGAGAGGTAGGAAGCCTTAGCAGCAGGGAGGGCCTACTCTCAACTAAGGTCACTCTTATATCCCTGCTCCTTCCAGGCTGAACTGCAACACATGCAGTTTGCAATTACTGAAATCATTTGACCACCATTTCTCTCAGATGGTTTCTACCACCTCCCTCTGAAGAATGATATATTGTTATCTCCCATTTTATAAATGAAGAAACTGAAGCCCAGAAATCCTAAGTTTCATATATATTAAACAGCAGTAGAGGATAAAGCTCAGATCTTCTTATTTCAAAACCTAGAATCTTTGTCATATAACACATATCATCCTTGTTACCCTTTTTGTATTGTATGTGGTAATTGGGGTCATCTAGAATGAGGCCTGGAAGAATTTCACATCCCTACCGTTTCCTTCCCTCTTCCTTCACTAGGAGTAACCAGAATGTATATTGTTCCACACAAGAATTAGGTCATCCTAATTTCTTTCAGCAGTGCTCCATGCTCCAAAAGTACCACCTTCCAACACTCCATGACCTGACACCATCAAGAGTCATATTTCCTCAGTCCGTAGGATAAAAATCTGCTAGAAATGCGTTTGCTGAATGAATGCACACTAAGATATGAAATATGATAAGTTTTACGTGTTACTCCTGTCTCTGAACATAAATACTTTATAAGTGAGCACTTAGATAGCCAGTGCCTTCCATTGAAGGAGTTAATATCGTGTCTATATTTTAGGCAGTATGGCAAGTTGGAGGCAAAAATATTTTGAGTTGAGGCCCTTCTTGGTAATGTTGCACTTAAACTATTTCTTCCTTCACTTACTCACAAAGCTTCACTTTTGCTCCAGCCCGCAAGTTTTCAGATAACTTTGGGTACACCTTGATCCAAATATAGAAATACTCTTTGCCAGCCTAACATGGACTCAGTCATTCCCAAAGTAATCACACACCCCTCAGCTTTATTCAGCAAACTTTACTGAAGGCTTACTGCATGCTGGCTCACTGTATGCGTGCTTACTCCCATGCAATATGCAGGCACTCCAACAGTTTAGGGTGTGGACTTGACAAAGATACCGTGTTACTTAGGCTCTTTTACTTGGCAAGGTACAGAGCATACTTAGGTTACTTGAGGAGACAGAAATTGTTAGAAAAACACATGGAAAACTATGGAGCTACAAGAAGACTCTTGTAGGTGGCCCGGTCTCACAGAGAACTAGAACATGGTATAATAATAGTTCTGAAGCTCTCACAGTATGACAAGAGCTCTGGTCATCTGGACATCACCTCAGGTTTGTTTATCTATCTAGTGACTGTACAATTACTGTGACTCAGCCATTCTCTTATCTTCCTTATTTTGCTTCCTTTTGTAACTTTTCTCCACTTCATGTCTTCTCCTACCTCATTGCTTCTGTTTTAAGCCTTTACACATCATGCCTCTGAGTTTCTGATGCTCTCTTCTGTCTGTGGCCCACCTTGTGTGACTCTACTCAAAAGCTCCAAGAAAGAGGATCTGTCCTAAGCATCTATTTAAGTTCTGAAATCAGTTTCCCCATAAGGATTCATAGGGCCTTAGGACCAGGCACCAACACCTAGTTTAACCAGAGGCATATTGATTGTCCTAAGTCTGACAACCGTTGACTTGGTCCCTGGGATGCTGTAGAGTACCCCTGGGAGATTTTCTTCTCTACTGATTTTAGCAATAGACCTCTCCCTGACCCAAAACAAAATGACCAGACTAGCCAGAACAGAATGACAGGTCACCATATATTTAGTGGTAATTTGGAGGAAAAAAACAGTATTAGAGGGTTAGGGTACTAAGCACTGAAAGCAACATGGGAAAAATAAGGAAGCAAAACTGGCTAAGCCACTAAAAAAACATGATCTCATTTAATCGAGACCTAAAAGGATTATTATGTGTTCCAAATGCACCTACCAACAAGATAATTGGGAGTCGCAATGATAGTTCATAAAAACTCTGAGTACAAGAGCTGGGGAGTACAAGAGCTGGGAAATACATCATAGGCCGCTTATCCAACCCACTTATTTCATATTGGAGAATTAGTTGACCAGTTAATTAATTCACACAATTAGTGGTGAAGCCCAGATTCATAAGCAATGTCCAATAAACCACCAGTTTGTATTTCTGAGCTAGTAATGAATTTCCCTGCCTAAAGATGTAGTAGATCACATTAAATGCTCAAAGAACTCTACTGATTGTCCCAGTGAATGTGGATAAGGTTGGGACAGAGCAATTTAATGTATTCATACAAGATAATGTCTGTGTTTTCAATAGCAGTAAAATATGTAGTAAGATATAACAGAGAAAAGCAAAAAAAGTAAGAGCTTGGAATCTCAGATTCAATATTGTCCCTGCCATCAACTAGCTGAGAGTTGTGTGTGCTTGGACTACTTCTATCAACTTTTTCTATCTCAGGCTCTTCATCTTCCTAAAGAAAAATTAGGCCAGAGGGCCACTGAGGTCCCAGGTGCCCATGATGCCTGTAGCACTACTTTTCTGGGAATGACAATGCCTACCTTTTGGGGATGGGATAAGCCCAGTGGACCAAGAATGCCAAATCAGCTGATTGCTAATCAACAAAATTGAGAAACTGATAGAGTGTTCTTAAAATTGTCCAAAGACAAATGGACCAAGGAAGAATTTGGCCTTTCGTGGATTCTTGGCTTAGATTTGTTGCCATCTCCAAAAGTACCCAGAGAGGCACTGAAAATCATTACACTTCACATAGGAAAACAAACAAACAAACTCTATAGTTCCATATATGGAGACATTTAAACATTTAAGCATTTTTTTTTCTAGTAAGCTAAAAATGGAAAAAGCAAAATGATGATTATTGAGTATACAAAGTGGCATTTTAATCTAGTCTCAGCAATAAATTTTGATGGCTATATAAATAAAAATGGACTATGCAGAGAGGAGGGGCTCCCAGTTGAAAGTCATATTCTGAGATAGCCAGTAAATCTGTAGGCTACTGGCAGGGCCACTTTAGATGGTTAGACACTAACCAACTGTAGGGCACATATTTATTATCATTTATTGACTATTCCAATACATTTTGTTTGTTAAGCAGAGTATTAGCCCTGGTCTATTTTCATTCATACATCCAAATAAAATATTACTAAAACAATAATGAAAGCCAAGAGAAAAATAATATAAATATTGAGAATTTTTCAAATCTCTCCTTCAAAATAGATTAGACATGAAATATGTATTTATAAATTAAATTATGGTAGCAGTGGAGATGGAGTATTATTTAAGATTTTTAAATAAATGTGTAAGTTTAGTGTTTTGAACATAAATTAGATTGTCAGACAAGGTGAAAAGGAACACTCAGATGAGGTTTTATTTCTTCTTCCAAAATCATAAATACTCTGTTTTTATAAGCTGACTGTAGCCCATTTCAATATGACAATATATGAATGAAAAGTTAATTTTCTCTACTAATTTGATTTATTAAACAAATAGTAGAATAACAATAGTGGAAAGAAATGACATTAACATTTATTCCTAACATCAGTTGTTTTCATTTTTCTTTGCCCCTTTCTCTACCAGGTCCATTTGCATGCCCATTTTTGCATAGTGGTTTACAAAAAAATAAAAAGCAAGACACTCTACAAGCCATAGTCAGCTGTTCTTTTTCTTTATCGCAGCACACACTCCCTCTGAGAGAGGCTTTTATCCATTTGATAAATATTTATTGAGCACCTCTTTGGTGCCAGCCTTTATTCCAGGTTCTAGGGATACAGTGATAACTAAGACAGACAAGGCCCTGCCCTCAAAGAACTTAATTCCAAGCTAAGAAATAAACATGTAAACCAATAAATAATTTCAAATGTTTTGTGGTGGGTGGCACTATTTTAGGAGGTAAGAAAGGCCCCTCTGAGGTTATTTGAGCTGATGGCAGAATGATGAGGAGATAAAAGTCTTGCAGTGAGCCAAGGGCACATGCCAAGGCCTTTAAAAAATGGGAAAGAGCTTAGCATATTTGAGGAAGTAAAAGGAGGCTAATGGGGATGGATTTGGTGAGCAGGGAACCAAGAGGTAGGTGGGGGTCAGCTCAGTAGGACCTTGTAGGTCGTAGTGTGGAGTTTGGATTTCAATCTAAGTACAAGAAGCCTTTGGAAGATTTTAAGCAGAGGTAGCACATGTTCTGTTCTAACTCAGGTTATTCTGGCTACCTAGTGGAGAGTAAATTATGGTGAGGCAATAACAGAAGCAGAGATATCAATTATGAAGCTATTTCAGCTTAGATGAGGATAAATGGCAGAGAAGATGGAGTAAAGATGGATTCATGGCCAGGTGCAGTGGCTCAAGCCTGTAATCCTGGCACTTTGGGAGGCAAAGGCAGGCGGATCACAAGGTCACGAGATCAAGACCATCCTGGCTAACACAGTGAAACCCCGTCTCTACTAAAAATACAAAAAATTAGCCGGGCGTGGTGGCACATGCCTGTAATCCCAGCTACTCAGGAGGCTGAGGCAGGAGAAGTGCTTGAACCCGAGTGGCAGAGGTTGCAGTGAGCAGAGATGGCGCCACTGCACTCCAGCCTGGGCAACAACAGAGCGAGACTCCTTCTCAAAAAAAAAAAAAAAAGATGGATTCGTAATATATTTTGGAGGTAGCACCTACAACTTGCTAATGGATTAGATGCAGAGGATAAGAGAAAGGGGAGGCTCCAAATTGATTTGGATCTTAGTTTTTTGGGATTAAGAAACTGGGTGTATGATAGAGTTATTTACTTAGACTGGGAGAAAATCAATTCTTTAGAGCAGAACTCAAGAGTTCCTTAGAGATGAGGTTTTGCTCTGTCACTCAGGCTGGAGTGCAGTGGCACAATCCTACCTCACTGTAGCCTCTAATCCCTGGGCTCAAATGATCCTCCCACCTAGGAATTATTTTTAATGTACATTAAGTTTGCAAAGAAAAGCCCAACTGGAAATGTGAGGTATGCAATTGGATATATGAGTCTGAAGTTCAGATCAGTGTGTGTGTGTGTGTGTGTGCGTGTGTGTGTGTGTGTGTGTGTATTTGGGAGTCATTAGCACATAGTAACATTTAAAACCATGGGACCAGAAGAGAACAACTAAGGCAAAAGTGAAGTTGACAAAAAAATTGAAAACCAGGTCATATGGTACCCCAAATTTCAGATATCAGGCAGAAGTGAAGGAGCCAGCTATAAAAACTGAGAAGAGTTCAGTGGGTTAGGAAGAAAATCAAGACAGTGTGATGTTTCCCCAGCCCTGAGCATGAAATTAGTCAAAAAAAGGAGACCATTCTCATCTGTGTTGCATATTATTAAGAGGTCAAGTAAAATGAGAATGAAGAAAAAGCCACTGCATTTGATATGGCTTTTTTGGGGATTTTTGGTGATTTTGACAAGATCAATTTCAGTGGCATCCTGGCAACTGAAGCCAGAATGAAGTGGGTTGAGATTGAATGGATTCAATGCAATTCTAGTAAAAATCCAAATAGGATATTCATTTAAAATCAGCAGACTGATTCTAAAATGCGTATGTTGTCTTGTGATCCACTACCTATACCCATCTTAAGGTACCATTGTGACACCATGTCAACACAGGGCTTCTCTGAGGAGCAGGTATTTCGAACAGGCTGCAGCTGGGGGATTGAGGAATACACTTTTTGTTCTGGGATTTCTTGCTAAATGTCTTAGGATGTTTTCACATCCTTATACACACTCCTTCAACCCAACCAGGTTTAGCCCAGAGGTGGAGTGCAGAAATGAACACAGTGACAACACTAGAATTTTACATTGTGGTTGGTTCCTCCTCAGCTGCTGAAGGCTTTTCTTTTGTCCTGTGAGAAAGAAACTTACCTTATATCCTATCCTGTGTATCCCTACTCTGGATACTGAGAATAAACTTTGGTTTTCATTTCTCCTCTTGATAAAACTTTGGAGTTTGAATCAATCTTTCTGTCTCAAAAAGTCAGACTTCTGCAAGCCAAAAGAGCTTGCCCTTGGGATATTTTGTATCCCTAGAGACTTAAAAAACTGTTTTGAAATTCAAAAATCTAAGCAATGACCTCTTTGTTCTATGCTGTATCAAATATAGTACTTTGCTTTTCTATGATAAAAAGCCTCAGAATCTATCTGTTTTTAATGGCTGTAAGGTTGAAAAAACTCCTGAAATTACTGAAAAGGAAAAATACAATGAGATTTTTAAAAATATTATCCTGCTTTCCTCTTAACATGGAATTCCCTGCCCCTCAGAACACAAGGTCCCTTTCTATAGTTTCAATTGTACTTCTCGATAGTTCCCCAATTTATTTCGTATTCCAGCTACAACTGCTTTCAGTACATGTAATTCCCAAGAGCACCAAGCACTTGGATGGCATCATGTCTTTGCACATGTGGTTCCCTTCTGCCTGAAATGCCCTTCCTTAAGCCAGCCTCCTCACTTTAAAAGATTTTAAACTCTTGTGCTAGAGATTAAGCTATTTTCTGTCATCTCCAAACCCACCTTTGTCTACCTTGTTTTGTGATGCTGGGGTTGGGACTATGCAAACCACCTTTCTCTTTTGCCAGCAGAATTCCTTTTGGTTTCTGTCTGTGTGGGACACTAAAGAAAGACCATGAGGCAAGAGAGGATGAAGGGACTCGTTCCTTTCTATTTGCTTGCTGTTCCTGTCCATGTTACCCACTAATGACCCTTCATCCTGACAGCAGCCGCTGTTTCCAGTATCCAGCTTCTTGGCACTCTCATAACCAGGTTTCATCCCACCTTCCTCAGAAACACAAGCACTACCAGCTAATGTCCCCTTCCCTGAGGTCTGAGTCTTATGTCTATGAGGATGTCTTCAAGCTTCTAAATTCAGATAACCCCAATCTCTTCCTTTTGCTTACTCAGACCTAGGGGGATGCAGCTGCTTCCTCAAGTTACTGCCTCTGTGAAACCTCAGTGTGCCCATTGTGCCTTTTTAGTTCTCCAGACCTGGTTAACCAATTCCCTATATTAAATTTTCTTGGTTGAATTTTTTTTTTTTTTTTGAGACAGTCTCGCTCTGTTGCCCAGGCTGGAGTACATTGGTGCAATCTTGGCTCACTGCAACCTCCACCTCCCAGGTTCAAGCAATTCTCTGCCTCAGCCTCCCAAGTAGCTGGGATTATAGGCACACGCTACCACACCTGGCTAATTTTTTTTTTTTGAGACGGAGTCTCGCTCTGTCACCCAGGCTGGAGTGCAGTGGTGTGATCTCAGCTCACTGCAAGCTCTGCCTCCCGGGTTCAAGCCATTCTCCTGCCTCGGCCTCCCAAGTAGCTGGGACTACAGGCACCCGCCACCACGCCTGGCTAATTTTTTGTATTTTTAGTAGAGACGGGGTTTCACCATGTTGGTCAGGCTGGTCTTGAACTCCTGACCTTGTGATCCACCTGCCTCGGCCTCCCAAAGTGCTGGGATTACAGGCATGAGCCACTGCCCCTGGACTCTTTGTTGAAATTTTTAATGTGTTTTTTGTTTTCCAGACTTATAATCATTCTCTATTAAGACTATCTAAGCCATTTTGTTCACTCTCTGCCAAAGCATTTGTTTCTGTGCACCTTGCAGAGGGCTCCTTTGAAGTGCTTATCATACTGTATTAGTATTTTCTTAGATGACAGTATCCTAACACTAGATTGTTAGGGCTCAGAGATAGAAATCGTATTTTATTTATTTTTACATCACCTGTGTTCATCAAAGTGAGTACAAACTCAGTAAGTGATCCTTAAATTAAATGAATTAATGAATATATGACTTAAATGAACAAATGAATTAATGAATATATGAATATGAATGTATTCAATTAATTAAGGAAAACATAACTGTATACATAGATTAGTCATGCATTATATCCTGTTTAAACTTAAAATGGCAACTCTTTATATACGGAATAAATTCCAAGGCCCCTTTAATTTGGCTCCTGCCTGCCTTTCCATCTCTCTCCTACCTCTTTCATCCCAGTCATACTGAATGGATTAGAGCTTCCAGAATACACCCCCACACCTTTGTCCTCACCATCGTTTCTTCCTGAAATGCTTATTCATGTCTAATTCCTCTAGCATATCGCAAGCTATTTGAAGTACTCCTTTATTTCCATCACCCAGAAGAGTTCTATAATATAGTAGATACTTAATGTGTAATTATTAAGTAAGCATTTCCATATTGCTGCAGTTTCCATAATGATCCCTTTTGATCTTTGCATGTATTTTATGTAGGTTATATGCCATGGCTTACTTAATCACCACTTTATTATTGGATATTAAGATAGTTTCCAATGTTCACTACTATAATTAATTCAAGAGAGCACTTTTTGTACAAGTGCTTGTTTGGTTGTAAAGAGAGTTACAATTTTTTTTCTTAAAAGAAGGATAGAGCATGAGGTTTATTTTTAAACAAAAAAAAAAATTTTTATGTTTCTCAGTTCATGTCAGTGATAGCAGGCCTAAGTCTAGGGGATACTTCTGAGGCCATCATGTTTTTAGAAGGCCAGTGACATAATCTGACTTACAATAATTTAAAATATTTCCTTAATGACTTGCAAATCAAGATGCCAATGTCCAAGTATTCCAGATGCCAGTCTACATGCTTGAACTTTCATTGTCTCCAGCTTCTCTTTGAGTACACAGAGGTAGAATCCAAATAGGTGGCATTTGACTTTGGGAGTGGAGGGGTATAGATTTGAGGAATAGAAATTAAAATAGAACTTAAATTACCATCGTCAAATCATATGAAAGCTCTTTTTACTCTCTTCATTTGGTAACCTCTGGAAAATAAAGGAATACCTTGGTACATAAAACAGAAGCACTCATGAAAATTTGTCTTAAGTAGAAGTAAGTTCTTCTATTGCACTTTGTTTTCCTAATTGTATTTCATTTGGCAATTGGAGATGTGTTTCCAACTGTGACATGAAGTCCAGCCCATTATCCTTTTCTAAGGTGTTTTCTTACTACATAGTTTCAAATAGGCTTAGAATTTCCAAATTGAAGAAGGGAGAGAAGTAGATTTAAAAAAAAAAAAGAGAGAGAGATTAAGAGGAGAGTGGTGTAAGCCTAAAATGAACTTCACTTTTAGCTTTGGGACATAGACCTTTCTAGACCTGTTTCCTCATCTATAAATTGAGTAGAAGATCCCCAAGGACCTCCCTAACTCTGAATTTCCATGACTTTACATGTTTTAGTCCTAAAAAATACTCAAACCTCAACTAAGCTCAAATGAGATTTTGACTTTCCTGAGTCTCAAGAACAAACAGCGTAGCCTAACTCCCTTGCAGGTGTAAGTCATCTTGCATTCCCTTCTCCAGATCAAACGAAAAAATAACCCAAAGAATTTAACTGCTGTGACTTCTCAGGAAACCTTTCCCTACTTCATTCGTTATGATTTGTATGTTCTCCTTCTTCCAAATCTATGTGGAATCTGACTTGAACTCATTTTGCACTCTTTGTTGACATAAACTTCTGAAATAAATCTCTTACACCCTGCAAAAGACAATTTTGCCCAGTTTAATTTAATGGAAGTGAATGACCCCTCCTTGCAACTTCTCAAGACTGTTTTTAATTTTATATTGTTGCTGTTGTCTAACCTAGAGTTAAAGAATATCCACTTCAGTTTGAAGAAGATACTCTAGGCCATTTGACATGTCTCTGGCTCAGTTTGCAGATAATAAAAGAATTACTGTCTCCTCTGCTCCTTCAGGTTCACCCACAATTTATCAGACGAAAAAGCTTTCATACAGCCCTATGTTTCATATTCATTCAGCCAGCCAGTTCCTCCAATTTCCTCTCTAAAAGAACATGCAAGCTGTTTATAAAATGCCTCTATTTAGAAGTTCTCCTTAGGAGGCAAAAGGAAACCTCAAGCTTCTATTGAGTGTTGGCATTCTGCATCTTTGCTTTCAGACAACGTTTGTAAGTAGTGATGAGAATAAATAATATATTACTGTTTGAAAGGAGAAAGAGAAGGAGCAAAATGATGCTACTACCCACAAAAGGGATCAGGGTCCTCATCATGGACCTCTGCTGAAGAATAGTGCTGTTCAAAGGCAATCAGCCCTCTTTACTACTGACTCATTGGCTGGAAGCCAAGACTGCCAGGGTCCAGTTTAACTAACGAGAGGGATTGTTTTGAAGGTGAGATGGAGGTCACAAATCAGGGCAGCCCTTATTTGGCCATCTCAGCACTTTAGAAATTATGTTAGACCTCTGAAGTGATGAAAATCAAACAGGAATGCTCAGTAAAGGTAACTAGTCACAATTAGGAAAGCAGATTTCCCCCATACTATTCTTCTTTGGATGGATTCAAGTGGAGAATATTTCACAATGTCCAGCTGATATGATCAGTGATCCAACAAGTCATGACACAATGTAATGCAAATTTTTAATAGAAGCCAGAATTTGTCATTTAATTAGAGTGTTGCTTAAAATCATCACAGTGTTCTTTTTATCATAATTATAGCCTCAGTTTAGTTAAGGGCAGCATTTCACTTCTTTGTAATCATGTTCAAGCAACTGTGCACTCCACAGTCAACAAACTTTTATTGAACACCTACTATGTGCTAGTCTGTTTCTGATTCAGAATCCTAATTCTGGCCCTATTTTTTAAAATAAAAAACTGAAAACTAAAATTTTATACTTTTAGGTTATTTTGCGATTCAGTGATCTACTATTCTGTGGGCTGGGAGAGAGAAAATTGCCCAGGCAATGTCTACTGCTATTTCAGTTTTTAAAAAATTAGCTCTGGAGATACAGTCCTGAATAAAAGAGAAAATCTCCCTGTTCGTATGGAGGTGTCATTCTACAGAGGAAAGCATACAATAAACATGTAAATAAACAACTGAACAAAATAATTTTAAATAACTATAAGTGCTACGAAGAAACTAAAACAGGATGTAGTGATAGAGACTGATAAAGTAAAGGATAACTACTTTAGGATGGTCATAGAACCACTGAGGAAGTAACATTTGTGCTTAGACTTAAATAATGAGAAAGACTCCATGGAAAGTCTGGGGGGAAAACCTGGGGAGCAGCAAGGGAAACCCTAAGGAGAATAACCTTGGTATGTTCAAAGAATAGGGGGACAACATGACTGCGGGGCTGCAAGTTAGAAGAGACATACGAGGTGGGGGAGTAGAGATTGGTAGGAGCTAGATAATGCAAGTCCTGTAGAACATTGGTAAAATACAACTGGGAAACATTGAGTGATTTCAAGCAAAAGATCAATATTACCTATGTTTTAAATTTATCATTCTGGCTGCCTTATGGGAAACAGATAGAAGCAAGAAGACCAGCTTAGAGTAGTTGAGGCAAGAGATCAGTGGCTTAATGTTGGCAATATCATGAGATAAAGTAGATGGATTTGAGATGTTTTGGCGGTAGAACCTGCAAACTTGCTGAAGAATTAGATATAGGGGTGAGGGAAAGGTAGGAAACCAGGAAAATGTTCAGGTTTGGTGGCGATGTTTACTGAGATAGAGAACCAAATTCAGGGTGCAAGGGAGGAACAGGTTTGAGATGAAGGTAGGAATCAAGAATTATTCTTTGCAGCTCCGTTACAAAAATATCTGTTGGATATCTGACTGGAGATATAAAGATGTCTGTTGGATATCTGACTGGAGATATAAAGATGTCTGTTGGACATCTGACTGGAGGTATGAAGACTGGAGAAATAAGAGTGGATGTGATTGGTGTGTAAAAGATATATAACGCCATGGGAGGAGAGAAAAGCAGGCAGCAGAAGGAGAAAATGTGAGGCATTCCAACATGTAGAGGCCCAGGAGAGTGTGTCAAGGAAATAGATGTAGCATTTAATGTACTCTAAATGGAGGCCAGGCCAAACCCCAGGCATAAGATACATGAGAGAAGGACTCAAACGTTGCCTAAACATGCTGAAAGCTGCAGCACTCTGGCATGTTAACTTTCTGCTGTGGTGAAAATAAAGATGAAAATCATTTCATCTGAGTTAGCAAATATTATGGAAAAATAAACGAAGAACTTTATTCCATGAGGGTGTTTATAACAAGTGATCGTCTCCGTATCACTGATGACCTCGTAAGCAGTTCTTCACTGAGACTGTGATTTGTCTTAGTATGGGGGTGTCTGCATCCTGGAAGGGGTTCAGAGAATTATACAGCACACCTGTGTTTACTCAACATTTTGAGAGTCCTGTTCAGTAACACTGAGTCATTTCCCCATGGCTTGTAGAAGTTAAAGATGGGGTGGGGATCTTACATATGGGTGTAAAATCTCTGGATTAGTTTTACAGATGGGATTACAAAGAACTAACAGTCTAATTAGTTCTTTGTAACCAAGCCCTTAGGAGTCTTCTACAGGGACATTTCTCATGTTAATATGATAAGTGAGGCATGTCAAAGCCAACCAGTCCAGGTTGGCTTGCCTGAGAGGCAAGCATGGCGTTTGGAGCCAGGCCCATCTGGGTTCAAATCCCAGCTCTGCCACTTTCTGGCTGTGTGTCCTGAGACAAGTTATCCAAGTCCTCCAATTTCCAGTTTCCTCATCTGTAAGATGATGACAACACTTCACTATCTTGTTGTGAGATTTAGTGAGGTACCATATACTGATTGACTAGTGTCACCAGATTAGGTACGATGTGCCTAGTTCCTCAATGAGTAGGTAGGAGGTGCTTAATAAATTCTGGTCTCTTCTCTGTCTTTTAATCTCAATAGTTGGTGGGCAAACACTACAACCTATGATAACCCCAAGAAATCCTAACTGTGGCCCCACTGGCTACATTATTTTTTGAATGCAAAAATTAAAGCTAAAATGTTACACTTTTAGGTCGTTTCCTGAGTCTGTGGTCCTTTTTATGAGCTGGCAGAGAGAAAATTGCCCAGGCAATTTGATTGCTATTTCAGTTTGAGAAAGATTCTCAGTCAGTGAGCAGCATTCTTTCTAGGTCTGGTTCATTTCTTCAACATTGCTATGGTGCTAGTAACTTCAGTACTTAAATTCTAGAATACTCATTAAGAACACAGAAACTTCCTATTAACTGCTTGCCAGATTTCCCTATTGCACATAGTATAGTAATTTGTCACAGAAACATTGTAACTTTTTTACACAATTAATTCAACCAGTATATACTGAGACCCTGCTAGGTGTCCAACATGGTATAGACAGTAGAGTGACAAAGATATGTAAAATAGACACAGTCCCTGCCCTCACTGTTACACATGCCAAGATTCACCAACCCATTCCACTGGCAGAGAAATGACTTTCTTCCCCTGCTAAATTCCTAAGAGGTCTTTTACTCAGATAGAAAAAACTTGTTTTAGATTCCTAGAATTGCTTAGAAACATGAACCAAAGGCTATTGCCATCTTTTCCCAGACGGCTTTCTCTTTAATCAAAGAATAGAACCTGTTTGATTTGTGTGTGCATGTTTTCAATTACAAAAATAATACACACTTGTTTTAAAATGTATTAATCTCCTTTAAAATGGAAGTTTTCTCCTCTTTGCTAGAGGAGAAGCTATTAATCACTAGAATTTAATGTCTATACTTCTACACATTTTTCTAAGGAGATACAAATACTTATTTCTGATACCCTCATCCCACATGTACACATTGTACTTGTTTTGTTTTTACCATGATAATATCACATTTACATGCTATTCTATAACTTGATTTTTAACACAGCAATATATCATGAACATGTTACCATTTTGTTTATCAATCTATCTACTTCATTAGTGTGCTGTACAATAGCCATAGAATAAATAAATCATAGTTGTTTTTTAACCATTCTTCTACTGATGGAACTTTAGATCGTTTCCAGTGTATTGCTATTATAGACAATTATTTAGTAAATACCCTGTACCTATATTTTCACACTTATGTGAGCTTGTCTATAGAATGGATTCCTACAAGCTGACAAGTGGAAGTGCTGCGTCAAAGGGGTTGTGCGTTTTAAACTCAGATAGTGTGAAATTGCCTTCAAGAAAGGCAATATTAGCACAATATGAGAATGCCCATTTCTTCCCTCCCTCTCTAATACTGAATATTATTATCATTCTTAATATTTGCCAATCTGAAAGGCAAAAAATAAGATTTCATTTTATTTTTTAGAGATGGGGGTCTCACTCTGTCACCTAGGCTAGAGTGCAGTGGTATGATCATAGCTCACTTCAGCCTTGAACTCCTTCCACCTCAAGGGATCCTCCCACCTCAGCCTCCTGAGTAGCTAGAACTATAGGTGTATGCCACCAAGCCAGGCCAATTTTTTTTCTTTTTTTGTAGAGATGGGGTCTCACTATGTGGCCCAGGCTGATTTTTAACTCCTGGCCCCAAGCGATCCTCTGATCTCAGCCTCCCAAAGTACTGGGATTGTAGGTGTGAGCCGCCATTCCCAGCCTGGGATTTTATTTTAGTTTGTAGATTTCTGGTGTCCATTCTGACATGTTAAACAAAAATTATGGAGGCCATTGTTTGGGACTGAGATCCCATATTAGGCTCCAACAAACCAGACCAAATCAAAATGGAGTCACTCATGCTAAATGCCACATAAACAAATTGAAATTTTACAGCAGCAGACATATCACAAAACAGACCAGTTTTTCATGAAAACAGGAGACTCCAGTCTACCTGAGTCAGCTTAAGGAAGTCTCATCTGCTTTAACTCTTACGTAAAAAGTAATCTGACATTAACCAATCAGCTTTTAATATTTTTATTTTTATAGACAGAGTCTGGCTCTGTCACCTAGGCTGGAGTGTAGCGGCATGACCATAACTCACTACAGCCTCGAATTCCTGGGCTCAAGTCACCCTCCCACCTCAGCCTCCTGAGTAGCTAGGACCACAGGTACATGCCACTATGCCTGGCTTATTTATTTTTATTTTTGTAGAGATGAGGTCTCACTATGTTGCCCAGGCTGGTCTTGAACTCCTGGCCTCAAGTGATCCTCCCACCTTGGCCTCCCAAGTGCTGGGATTACAGGTATGGGCTCAGTCAGGTTTTTTATTTTCTGTTGTTCTGTTTCCTTGTCCCCACTTTACAAAACCCACTGTTCTATTATTGCCCAGGGTGAGCTATTGTTCTATTTTTGTAGAATTGGAGGATGCCCAAATTCATGAGTTGAAAATAAGAGGCAATTAGATCTATAACTAAATCTGTGGTAATTTTGTTTTTGATGTGTGTAAAAAGCTTGGAAGTCACCATTCCCATCCCTACGAGAAAGCTGGACAAACTAAAAATGAATGACTTTTTTGGATCTATGAGAGAACTGAACTTTCAGAGTAAACCACACCCTGAGATCTGGAGACAGGTGCATCCAGAGAGATACAGCAGAAGCCACTGGAGGAATAAGAGTGGCAACATTTACTTCACTGGTAAATGTGAAGAATTACTATAAGTTGAGTGTGGACTAATGTGACAGTGAGAACACATTATCCACAATCATAGGGGTATTAAATACTTCTTCCCACAATTTTGAGGTCTTTCTCCCTCGGAATCCCACCAGGTTCTCAGGGTAAGGAGCTAAGAAAACCCCCCTTGTGGCCCTGGAAGGGAGATGGAAAGAGTAACAATAGTGTAACCCTCCCAGATTCTTCTCTATAACAAAAGCCTACTCTCCAAGGGTAAAGTCTGTACTACAATAGTCTCCCCCCACTTATCCATAGTTTTGCTTTTCATGGTTTGTTACCTGTAGTATAGTATAGTATAGTATAGTATAGTATAGTATAGTATAGTATAGTATAGTATAGTACACTATACTATACTGTAAAGATATTTTCAGAGAGAAATCACATTCACATAACTTTTATTACAGTATGTCATTATAATTTTTCTATTTCATTATTAGTTATTGTTAATCTCTTACTGTGCCTAATGCAGAAATTAAACTTTACCACAGGTGCATAGGAAAAAAAAACATAGCATATGTAGAGTTCAGTACTATCTGAGGTTTTAGGCATCCACTGGGGTTCTTGGAAGGTATCAGCCACAAATAAGTGAAGACTACTGTATAGGGCAATACTGAAGCCTTATTCCACCTGGTGGAGTGGATTGTCACCCTACTCCACTTACTAGCCTTCCTGTCTAACCTAAAAGAAACAAAAGGAAAACCAAAACAAACATAGTAGGGCACTAGGAATAGAGTATGGTAGGAGAAGGAGGGGTCGGGTGATGTGGGATCTTATATCAGGGAAGAGGGACAGAAACACTTGTGAAGGCCACAGCCCTGAGACATAGGCCCACTGAAAGAGAGAGACTTAATTAGAAGATTATAGAACATCTCCCCTCCTCCATACTTTACCACCATATCAATATACTTTCAATGGATTACAGTTGAAAGAACTGCATGATCTAGACTCTTTCTGAGTGGCAATACAAAGGGAACCACAAAGGCAAGAGAGAGGAAAAAAACAAGGACACTAGAGGAATTTGAAGCCTCTGGAACTTACAGCTACAACAATAATTAAACACAACCCAACTCCAGGCCAGATTAACATAAATCCTCACACCAAAGGCCTGTTTACTTCAGTACCTATTAGAAATACATAATATTGATTGGGTGCAATGACTCATGCCTGTAATCCCAGCACTTTGGGAGGCCGAGGCGGGAGGATCACAAGGTCAGGAGTTCGAGACCAGCCTGACCAACATGGTGAAACCCCGACTCTACTAAAAATACAAAAGTTAGCTGGGCATGGTGGCATGTGCCTGTAATCCCAGCTACTCAGGAAGCTGAGGCAGGAGAATCACTTGAACCCAGGAGGCGGAGGTTGCAGTGAGCCAAGATTGTGCCACTGCACTCCAGCCTGGGCAACAGAGTGAGACTCCATCTCAAAAAAAAAAAAAAAAGAAAGAAATACATAATATCTGGCTCTCAACAAAAAATCACAAGGCACACTAAAAGATAAGAAAGGGACAGCCAGAAGAAGGGACAGAGAGATCATCAGAACTAGAATCAGATAAGACACAGATATTGGAATTATCACACAAGGAATTTAAAATTACTGATTTATGTTATGGGCTCAAATGGAAAAATAAACAGCATGTAACACCAAATGGATAATGTCAGCAGAGAGATAGAAACTATTAATATAAGAAACAAAAGGAAATACTAGAAATGGAAAACTGTAATAAAAATGAAGTATGTCTTCAACAGGTTTACCTACTGGACATAGCTGAAGAAAAAAAAGAATCAGTGCATTTGAACATAGTTTAAATAGAAACTTCCCAAATTGAAGCACAAAGAGGAAGAAGAATCTCAAAAACTCAGAACAATGAAGAACTGTGGACAATATCAAAAGGGGTAATATATGCATAATTAAAATACTGGAAGGATAAGAGAACAAAAAATTATGATCAAATATTTGAAATAAATATTTCTTGGTAAATTAGATTATCAGACATATAAACTGCCTATTTGGGATAAAGCCAAAAAGGAGTTTGGTTAGTCCACCTATAAATTTTATGTATTCTCATCACATGTGTTTGACTATCTGATCATTAAGTCTCTCATTACCTTGGTAGGAACAGTCTAGAGGATTTTCTGCAGTGAAAGAGTTAATGGATTTCTTTTTCAACTCAAAGATGAGTTATCTTTTCAGGGAATGAGGTGTTGAGAGTGAGGGATATAGAAAACAGCAATAATATAAGAGTACAGCCAGGCACGTGGCTCACGCCTGTAATCCTAATACTTTGGGAGGCCGAGGCAGGCCTATTACTTGAGCCCAGGAGCTGAGACCAGCCTGAGCAACATGGTGAAACTCCCCTCTAAATAAAATACAAAAAATTAGCTGGGCATTGTGGTGTGTGCCTGTAGTCCCAGCTACACTGGAGGCTGAGGTGGGAGGATTGCTTGAGCCCAGGAGGCAGAAGTTGCAGTGAGCCAAGATAGCACCACTGCATTCCAGCGTGGGTGACAGAGGAATGCCCTGTCTCAAAAGGAAATTAAAAAAAAAAAAAAATATATATATATATATATATATAAAGAATATAACTTTTTTATAAGATTTGTTTTATGCTGCAAATTCCTACATGAACTCATTAAATGGATATATATCACAGGGAAAACAATATGATTATTAATAGAAGGATGACAGCTTAGTCTTGAGTGGCATGAGTCACAAAAAGAATGATTAAAAAAAACATTCAAAAGAGTCTCATTCACCAAGAGCTGAACCTTTCACAAGGTTTAGCTTTCACGACTTGAGGCATTTGTGTAATTGTTATGATTGTCATGAGGCCTCCATGCAAACCTTCTGATTTTCCTAGGTAAGAATTTCCAGCAGTTTCTTGTCAGGCATGGGCTGTTACATGAGTTCCCTCCCCTGAGTTATGACAGTCTGGCCAGCATTGTACTCAAAAGGGACCCTGAGACCTTTAGCATCTTTTACCAGGTCCAGAGAGTTTCAAGAATCTTTGAAGTTGGCAGGGCACGGTGGCTCACACCTGTAATCCCAGCACTTTGGTAGGCCAAGATGGGCTGATCACGAGGTCAGGAGTTTGAGACCAGCCTGGCCAACATAGTGAAACCTCATCTTTACTAAAAATACAAAAACTAGCCGGGTGTGGTGGCACGTGCCTGTAGTCCCAGCTACTCGGGAGTAGCTGAGGCGGGAGAATCGCTTAAACCCGGGAGTTGGAGGTTGCAGTGAGCCAAGACCAAGCCATTGCACTCCAACCTGGGTGACAGAGTAAGACTCCGTCTCAAAACAAAACAAAACAAAACAAAACAAAAAAAAGAATCTTTGAAGTTGATGGTGCAATGGAGCGTAACTTTCTGTTCAAAGAGCAATATCTTCCAAATCAAATTGAGTAAGCCACATGTCAAGCACACTTTTCCCTTGTTGCTAAATTGAAATCCATTTCTTCTCCCCACCAAATCTGGGAGGAGCCACATAGTGGATCTTCCCCAAAATACCAAATAGAGTTACATCTCCTATGGCAGTTTAATGACTGAGCATTAAGAGCCAGAGTCTAAACTGAGTCCAGCATCTCACAAAATCTGCTCTAGTGCCTGCCTAGAGAACACAGCAGGGGATTTTCTGTCTTAAGTAGCTAGGCACGCCATGCATCTGAAATGAGAAGCATGCCCTAAAATGTTCACAGCATATTGCAGTTGAATGTTTTCTATCTTCTTCAGAAGATAAGCTGGAGTAGTTTTGTTTTGTTTTCTCCGATTAAAAAAAAAAAAGTACAACAAAACATGATGGGGAGGGGAGACAAGTCAAACAAACAATTCCACATGTTTCTTGTGCATGAGCCACTTTCAGACAGGGCAATATGTGTGCAAGGCTTTACTCTGCCATCTCACAATGCAAGAAGATGACTCTGTAAAAGTCCCTGGAGTGAGGTGATAAGGATGAGGCAAAGACGGAGAATAAAACCTGAAACAAAGTCGTAATTTGGGGTCAGAAAGTGTGCCCACACCAGTCCAGAAAAGCAGAGAATTCTTGCCCTCTTTTTTTTATCCCCAAAGTTCTATTTCTTTATGAAGTCATTAAGAACCACAACCTATCCAAAATGAAGAACAGAAAATCCAGTCTCAGCATTTATTTTTAAATAACACATCTAGTCATATTATGGGGAGTCATAAATACATATAAATTAAAAATCCAGGCATTTAAAAACATGTGTGTAGCCTTCTAAAATCCAGGGAAACATTGAGAGCTATTTGTTTTTGAATATGAGTATTATTTGGGTGGCAATCTTTGAAGGTTTTCTTTTACTGGTAAAAGACAGTGATATATCTTGCCCCGATGAAGGCAAACCCAAGACAGCCTTGTAAGGTAGAGTCAGGGAGACTTATTAGCCAAGACTTTTCAGAAGCCAATTCATTTTAATAAATGATTTTTATCAAATGTCTTCTGAAGAAACTGTGATGTCCACCCTGAAATTTTCCTTTGCAGGCACCTATTGCAAAGAGTGCATCTGATTCTAGATAATAGTTTCTGATTTGAGTGAAGGCTACTGTCCTTTTGCATTTGCTTTCCTATTGATTTCCACAGCTATGTTTGTCCTTCTATGAGTATGAGAGCCATAGCCTGATGTGACCCCTGGTAGTGAGTGTACATCTGCATATAAGTGGTATAGAGCTTCCTGGCTCTGAAACATGTGTAAGCACACAGAGCTTTCTTTACTTTTTAATCTCACGATCAGTGGATTTATTGGGATGGTGCTGACATAAAAAATGAAATGAAACATCTGTGTCTAACAGCTGCACAAAATTTGGATTCGTGTCAACTTCTCTGACATCACACACTCTGCATGTGAGTTCCATGAGTAGTCTCCGTATGGTGCTAATACAATAACATGCCTACAAAGTCCCTGTGGTTTATGGTGTGATGAACTCCAGAGCTGAGGAAACAAAGCCAGCAAGCCTACACCATTTGCTGAATGGAGCTGGCTTTGGGTAATATCTTGTTCTCATTGAACTACTCAGTTTCACCAGGGATAAGAAGCCGGACTGGGCATGGTACCAACAATAAGCTTTCTGTTGGGGATGTTGGTCACCACTCCTCTAAAGTGGTAGGAGAGAAGTCTCACAATTATTTTTGCCTTACTCCATAGAAAAATAGATGTGGGAGTCCAAATGGGTGATGGATGGGTAAGTGAAGCAAGTTTACCCCTCCTAGGCAGTCAGGAAAAGACAGGTAAAAAGAGAGACAGAAAACATACGTAATGTCTCAATGCAAATCCTGGAAAGATACAGCAATCCTTTGCTGGGAGGCTGGAGTCATGCCCAGGGTACATGGTAGCATTGATCAGATCAGTGACACACCACACTGACCTACAGCTATAAACAAAAGCCACACATGTTCTCTTTCTTCTGCTAAAGACAGGGGCTATAGGAATTTGGCAAATAGTTGTGTTCTCTGACAGACTACACATGTAACCTAGAAAAAAAAATCTGTTCTTATTTATTTTTTTTAAAAAGACTCAAAGCCACTTGGTTTTCTATTGGCCAGTTAACCACATAGAGGAAAACTTTTGAAAAATATCTAGCAGCAGCTCAGCTTTCCCTATTTGCTCAGCATAGCTGGATTGCTTCCCTCACATCAGTTGCTAGGATCAGAAAGTATACACTGCAAGTGTAGCATTATAAACAAATTCATGTGATAGATTTTTCAGGTCCAATGAACTTATAAAATGCAATACTCATTTGCACGAGAGAATTACTAAGTGGATACATCAAGTCGGGGCTCCTTCATATTTTAAAGCGGCATCTATTCGCTATGTGTAATAGTGCATCCTAGCTCTGTTGGGCAGTATAAATACACAAGCAGAAAGAGATCTATCAGAGCTGAATTTCAAGAGTTGTGAATGTGGAGACAGAGAATCTTGGGCACAGGTGTGATTTCCATGGTCTGAGGAAGAGCAATATGAAAAGAAGGGAGAAAAAAGAAAGTAAGGATAGGAGAAAAATCAGAAAAGTGATACAATTCTCAAAGGCCTATCAAGCATTTTTATAAACAAAACATCCAATATTACCTAGCTAATTTTTTTCTCCAATGGAACAGCTTTAATTTTCTTAAAAGAAATTGTTAGAAAGACAAAACTACATTAATAGAAAAATTACTTCATAAACAATTTTACTAAAATTTATTCACTCTATAAAAATGAGAAACTCCTGTGATTTTAATGGACACTTAAGCAAAATATAAGTTAAGAGATAAGCTAAATAATGGAATCATCATAGCGTGCATTTTAAAGCCAGTTTAAAAATTCTCCTTTATTGTGACCATCATGCTGTTCCTCCCCTCTGTCATCATGGCCAATGCAGAGATGATTGTCAAAGAAAAGCAAATGGGTTTGTGAGGAATTCTAATCTTCTGATCTCCTGGGGCCCACTGTGGTGGCTTAGATCCACCCCACTGCTGCTGAGATCAGAGTCTATTTTGGAGCTCTAGGCAGGTTCTAGAGCCTTCTCTAATTACCCCAACTGGAATTAAACAAACTTTACAGCGTTAATGAACTGTGTGGCCACATCTGCCTCTGCCAGACACGTTACAGCCCTGCTGCATGCTGTTAGGCTACCACACACTAATTATCCTTTGAGTTTTCTGCACATTCTTTTCCAAACAAGGCAGCCCTGCCAACTTGTCAACAGGGCATTTACTCTAAAAATGAAGTTACTTTATTTTTTGCCTGAGAATGCCCACAGTCACTTTCTCACAGACAGGAATGGAAGCAGGATTGTATCTTTCTTTTTTTTTCTGCCTCTTTAAATTAAGGAAGAGGGGGAAAAAAACCTCTGTAAGCTAATATATACCTTCTCTGGTGGTTGTAGTGCTGCAAGTTTTTCTGATTTAGACCAGAGAAGAAGAAATGTCACCATTCTCAGCTGGTAGGGAAAAAAAAAAAAAAAACATGTAGGTGGATGGTGTGAAATTTAAGCAGACTTGGGAAAGAACTAATCCACATGTGGAGTTCTCCACTGGAGATGTGTCTTGACAGCTCTCTGGTAATATCCTGTTTTGGTTTGCCCACTTCATGTTAATGCATGAGGCATCATGTTATAGCTGAAACAGCAAGGGTTTTGAGGTCAAGTGTCCCAGCCCTGACACTTTCAGTTAGGCCAGTCACTTACTTCTCTGAGCTTCAGTTTCTTCATCTGACAATTGGAGATAAAGACACCTAACTCAATGAGTTGCTGTGAGAAGTTAAATAACAATAAATGTAGAAGTGCTTTATATCACTGCTTGCCACTTGCTATAGCTGTGTTACCTTGTGCAAATTACTTAATCTCTGTGCCCTGGTTTCTTCATCTGTAAAATGAGGGTAATAGTACTATCCTTGCCCCTCTGCGTTGTGCTAAGGATTGAATAAATTAAGATATGTAAAGTGCTTAGGATAATGTTTAGCACTAAATGTTTTCTGTGATTTCTATTTATCAGATGCTATACATGTTATTTTTCCAGATGTTCTTAACTTCATACTAACTTAAATAGAGCAAAACCTATATTTATAACTCAACTATTACTGAGTATTTTATCCAAAGCACTAAGATAGGTTCTGTATACAAATATAAATTAGGTGGATGATGATCTATTTTGCAAAAGAAAATAACAAGGCACTGCTTCAATTCAACAATTCACTTTGACAGCACCCACTATTGTTTTCAACACAATGCAGAATATGAAGCATGAAACATATCCTCCAGGAATGTTTTAAATATATTTTTTATTCTAATATGAACGCATGGTCATGATAGAAAATTTTAGAAAATATTTGATAAGCAATAATAATAATAATGATGCTATAAAACTGAAATCACTACTATTGCACTCTATGCTACCACCAAGAGATACCTATGTCTTACATTTTGGTTTAAGCTATTTTAAATCAAATTTTAATTTTTTTAATTAGTTGTGTGTTCATGTGTGTATAAGTGTGTAGGTGCATAAAATTGGAATCTAATGGCTTTTTAAAATGTAATAGATCATAAACATTTTTCCACATCACTAAGTATTCTCTCCCTTATTATATTTTAATTTTTATTTAGAAATAGTTTTGAAGTTAAAGAAGAGTCATAAAAAGTAGTACAGAGATACTTGGAGACTATGCACAATTCTGTTTCTACTTAAACATTCACCCATTCTTTTTAGCATCCTTGGAGGATTTAACCTGCAGCAATGGTTACTATGGGGTTTAATGGTACTTTTGTATTTTCCCCAGGCCTTCTATATTTATAATAACTGAGATTCTTTTCTAAAGAAGAGCTTTCCTTTTCTCCCACTTATGTATTTATTTAATCATTTATTCATTTATTTGTGGGATCATGGATATTTAATTTATTCTTTTAGTTATAAACTAACATTGTACTCATTCTTTTAGTTACAAACTAACATTGTACTCTTATTATTTATTTTGTTGCTCAAATTCTTTCATGGGAGCTTTTTCAGATTGGTTCCTGCACATTTTTTATGTTTTTTTCTTTTTATTTTTTTTTTAAATTTCCTTACATTGAAAAACACCACAAGATATCCAGACTCATATTTATTTCATTGCCCCAGCCCTAGAATCAGATAGTTCTCCAGTGATTCCTGGTTCCTATTGTTGGAGGACAGTATTTAGAAACCAGTATCATTAGGAGTTAGGTGCTCTCCTTTTAACTGAGATATCATTGTTTCTAACTCCTTTCAGTGGATACAGCTTGGAGATATATGCAGATATATATCTCTGCGTGTGTGTGTATGTGTATATATACACAATCATACACATAGATATATATACACATATATACATATATATACATACATATATACATATATAAACACATATTGTATACACACTAACTCATACACATAGATCTATCTATATATCTATTTCTGTAAATTTTCTGTAAATATTTATATGTATATGTATGTTTTAATTTTTAAAATTAAAATTTAATATATACAACAGATAATACACCATTGCCAAGTGGCATTGATCTAAGGAATGTAAGACTGGTTCAACTTTTAAAAAAATCAATCATTGTAAGCTATTAACAGATTACAAAAGAAAATAGATACAGAAAATGCATCTGACAAAATTCCACTTGTACTCATGATATAAACTTTCAGCAAAGTAGAAATAAAAGAAAACTCGCGGCTGGGCGTGGTGGCTCATGCCTGTAATCCCAGCACTTTGGGAGGCCGAGGCAGGCGGATCACCTAAAGTCAGGAGTTCAAGACCAGCCTGGCCAACATGGTGAAACCCCATCTCTACTAAAAATACAAAAAAAATTAGTTGGGCGTGGTGGCACACACCTGTAATCCCAGCTAAGTAGGAGAATCGCTTGAACCTGGGAGGTGGAGGTTGCAGTGAGCCAAGATCTTTCCATTGTACTCCAGCCTGGGCAACAAGAGCAAAACTCCATCTAAAAAAAGAAAGAGAGAAAGAGAGAGAGAGAGAGAAAGAAAGGGAAAAGAAAAGAAAGAAAGATTGCTTAAATTAATAAAAAATATCTACAAAAAAATCTACGTCTAACATCACAACATCACACTTAATGGTAAAAGACTGAAGACCTTTTCCTGGAGATGGAGAACAAAGCAAAGGTATCTTCTTTCACAATTTGCATTTAATATCACCCTGGGAATACTAGCCATTATAATAAGACAAGACATAGAAATAAAGGGGATGTCAGCTCTATTCGCAGATAACATAACTATGTAGATTTCCTATATAGATATTTCTAAACAACTTACACACAACTTCCTGGAACTAACTAATGAATTTAATAAAGTCTCAGGATATGAAGTCAACGCATACAAATCAATGGTATTTCTATATAATAGCAGGAAAATTGGGATTCAAAATTAAAATAACAATACCATTTATAATAGCACAAAAAAATCACATAAGTATAAAACTGAAACAAATTATGTGGGATCTGTATGTTGAAAAGTACAAAACACTGAAGAAAAAATCTGAGAAGATCCAAATAAGTGGAGAAATATACCATGTTCATAGATGAGAAGATTCAGTATTGTTAAGATAGATGTTAATTCTGCCCAATTTGTTATACTGATTCAGTGAAATTTCAATCAAAATTCCAGCAGCCTTTTATGTAGATGTTGACTGCTGGTTTAAAAATTTATACAGAAAGGCAAAGGAACTAGACTTGCCAAAAATTTTTGAAAACAAATAATGTTGAAGGGCTCCCTAATTTAAAGTGTTATTGTAATGCTACAGTAACGAAGACTGTGGTAATGTAGAAACAACAGATACATATATCAATGGAACAGAGAAGAGAAACCAGAAATAAACCCACATAAATACAGTCAACTGATTTTTGACAATGATACAAATGCAAGTCAATAGAGAGAAGAAAGTCTCTTCAAATAAATGGCCTGGGAACAACTGAATGTCCACATTTTAGTCTATCTGGGCTATCATAACAAAATATCATAGACTGGGTGGCTCATAAACAATAGAAATTTATTGTTCACAGTTCTGGAAGCTGGAAATTCCAAGATCAAGGTGTGGGAAAATGTACTGTCTAGGGAATGCCGGCTTTGTAGTCCATAGACAACCATTATTTCGCTGTGTCTTCACATGGCAGAAAGGCCAATGAACTCTCTGGGTTCCCTTTTATAAGGACCTTCATTAACTAACCACCTGTCATAGCCTTACCCCCTAATACCATCACCTTGAGGGTTAGGATTTCAACTTGTAAATTTTGGGAGAAACACAAACATTTAAACCATAGCAGTCCATATACTAAAAAGACAAAAAAGAACCCCAGTCTATATCTCACATCTCATATAAAATTAACTCAAAATGGATCATAGACCTAAACATAAAGCATAAAACCATAAAACTTTTTTGAGAAAAAAACAGGAGAAAGGCAGGCCGGGCGCAGTGGTTCACACCTGTAATCCTAGCACTTTGGGAGGCCAACGTGGGCGGATCACGAGGTTGGGAGTTCAAGACCAGCCTGGCCAATGTGTGTATGACCTTGGGTTAGGCCACTGAACAAAGTTCAGCTTTGTAGTTCAGGAGACATTTGACAATGTCTGCAATATTTTTTATTGTTATAATTGTGGCCTGTGTATGTGTGTTTGCACATGCATGCACACATGCACACTACAGGCATTGATGGGTAGAGGCCGGGAATACTGCTAAACATCCAACAAGGCACAGGATAGGTCCCCATAACAAATAATTATCTGGTCCAAAATGTCAATTTTGCATCTGTTGAGAAATCCTGAGTTAGGAAAACAGGTTTTAGATATGACACCTAAAGTGTGATTTATGAAAGAAAAAAATTGATGAACTGTATTAAATTTTTAAAAAAACTTTTGTTCTGCAAAAACTTTGGATCTTTAAGAGAATAAAAAAGACAAGCCACAAACTGAGAGAAAATATTTTAAAATCACATCTGTCAAAGGACTTATATCCAAAGTATATAAAGAACTCATAAACTCAACAACCAGAAAACAAAAAACCCAATTTTTAAAAACAAAAAATTGAAACAGAGTTTTTACTAAAGAACATATTTAGGCCAGGCACGGTGGCTCACGCCTGTAATCTGAGCACTTTGGGAGGCTGAGGTGGGCAGATCACAAGGTCAGGAGATCGAGACCATCCTGGCTAACACGGTGAAACCCCCATCTCTACTAAAAATACGAAAAATTAGCCAGGCATGGTGGCACGCGCCTGTCGTCCCAGCTACTTGGGAGGCTGAGGCAGGAGAATTGCTTGAACCTGGGAGGTGGAGGTTGCAGTGAACTGAGATCACGCCACTGCACTCCAGCCTGGGCAACAGAGCAAGACTCCATCCCCCCTCCCACCCCCAAAAAAGAACATATTTAGATGTAAAATAAGCATAATAAAAAAATGCTCTTTAGTAATCATTAGGGAAATACAAATTAGAACCACACCAAAAAACCCACAACATGCCTATTTGAATAGCTATAATTTTAAAACCTGGCAATATGAAGTGCTGGTGAGAATTTTGAGCAGTTGGAATTCATATACATTGCTGGTAGGAATGCAAAATGGCACAGCCACTTTGGGAAACAGTTTGGCAGTTTCTTATAAAGTTAAACATATACCTACCATACGACCCAGCAATCTCATGCCTAGCTATATATCCAAAACAATAGAAAAGATGTGCAAACTATAGGAGAGGATTCTCTCTACCCTTCAAATTCTTAGTTAGAACAGACTCCTATAACGAAAGGTAGATTAACAAGAGGAAAACAAACAAATTTAACAGCATGTATACCTTATGTATACATGGGAGATACCCAGAGAAATAAGTAAATCCCAAAGGTGTGGCTTTGAATTCAGGCTTAAATACAATTGTCTACTGAAACAAAGAGGGAAGGATGTGAGGAAGGAAAAACATAAGGAGATGCCCAGGAAGGCAGGATAACAAGGGTAAGATTTCTTACACAGATTTAAGTCCGGTGCCTTGTCCATTGATAAGAGTCCCTAGTGATGTAATGTCATCCTTCTCTTCATAGTACATAGGGAGACACCCTTATAAATAGAGATTTCCTTTATAGACATAAATGTCCTTTATAAAAGGGTAACTTCTGCTCTGTTTTCAGATCTTCTTCTGCATCTACAGTTTCTCAAAATGATTAGCACAAAACAATCCATATGCCAAAGAAGCATAATTTGAGGTGGCATATTCTGGTCTCCTACAATACAAACACCTATAGGTAAATATTTGTAGCTAATTTAAAAATTGGAAACAACCTAGATGTACTACAAATTGTGGTACATACATGTAATGGAATGCCACCAGCAATAAACCCGAATGAACTATTGATTCACAAAGCAACATAGATAAATCTTACCTGCATTTTGAGAGGCTGGACCCAGAATTGTTTGATTCTATTCATATGGCACTCTGGAAAAAGCAAAACTATAGGGAGGAAAACAGATGAGTAGGTAGCGGATCAGGGGTTGGGGGGTGGGTTTTCTATGAAGGAGTAGCACAAGGAAACTTTGGGGTCATGGAATTATTATGTATAGAATTATAGTGGTCCATAGTACAGTTCTGTGCATTTGCCAACACTGATAGAACTGTACCACAAGAAGTGAATTTTATTACATGTAAATTTTTTTAAAAACTCAACCAGGATAAAGAAAATGTGGCACATATACACCATGCAATACTATGCAGCCATAAAAAAGAATGAGGTCATGTCCTTTGCAGGGACATGGACGAAGCTGGAAGACATCAATCTCAGCAAACTAACACAGGAACAGAAAACCAAACACTGCCATGTTCTTACTCATAAGTGGGAGTTGAACAATGAGAACACATGGACACAGGGAGGGGAACATCACACACCGGGGCCTGTTGGGGGCCTGTCTCCCTCCCTTGTTGGGCAAGGGGAGGGAGGGCTTAAAACTAAATGACGGATTGACAGGTGCAGCAAACCACCATGGTACGTGTATACCTGTGTAAGAAACCTGCACTTTCTGCACATGTATCCCAGAACTTAAAGTAAAATTAAAACAACAACAAAACCTCAACCAGGATGTAAGAGAAAAGATGGAATGCAGATTGTGATAAATGCATTTTACTATGCTACAAATTAATCATATAACTTCTCTGAAAGGGATGGGGAAGAAATAAGCTGACCTGAGTAAGGGTCAGCTAAGTGAGGGTTTCCAGAAAACCCTTCAGCTCCCCTAAGAAACTTTGGAAAACAGCACCAGACCTGCCCCAGTGAAACCTGGTGCCATGCAAGCCCCCATGGTCCCAGTCTCCAGGCTGGAAATTGTGGACAAAACTTTTAAGATGCTCCAACACCCAGTCTATTCTGTGTCCTCAGGCATCAGGCTGACCCCAGTGCCTTCAGATTTTGAGCCTGTTTGTTCTGACACTTTAGCTCTCTGATAAGTTCAAAGAAAGTTCTGAATTTGAAGTTAACTCAGTTACTTTCATTGTAAGTGTAAGAGTGATGTCTCTTCTATCTCTCTATAGAGTGGTAAGTCCTTTTTTTCCATTTTTAATGGCTAAACTGTATTTCATTAAATGAATATGTAATTTACTTTATTTAACCAATCCCAATCACTTATTATTGTGCCTTTAGGGAATTTTCCACTTTTTGCTATTATAAACCAAGTTAATTGACCCTTGTAAGCATCTTTGAGTTGCTATAAAGGGATACCTGAGGTTGGGTAATTTATAAAGAAAAAAGTTTATTTGGCTTTTGGTTCTGCAGGCTGTACAAGAATCATGGTGCCAGCATCTGCTTCTGTTGAGGACTTCAGGTTGCTTCTACTCATGGTGGAAGGCAAAGGGGAACTGCTGTATGCAGAGCTCACATGGCAAGAGAGCCCCCATGAGGGACCTGCCCCCATGAGGGACCTACCCCCATGACCCAAACACCTCCCACCAGGCCTCACCTCCAATGCTGGGGCTCAAATTTCAACATGAGGTTTGGAGGGGTCAAATATTCAAACCACAGCAACGGGAGAAGACATTTCCTCATGAAGAAGCAATATAAATTGAAATACAACCTATAGAATTTATATAGACATATGCAATCTGCAGAAGCACATGTTGGGACTGAAAAAGGACTGCACTAATGAATTCTGTCACAGATGTGTTTCTTGTTCTCATTTTAGAATAAATGATATCCATATCAGATTATCTGGGTGATTAGCACAATGGCTTTGATTTAAAAATAGGAAGGCTACATGTTGACTGTTCCCTGATGCTGACTGCTATAGCCTATGTGCTCTATCCAACCCAGAAAGGGAGCCTCTCCTTCACCCAAACAGGCAGCTGTATCAGTGTTTGGGTGAAAAGGAAGATGGATTTCAGCTGCCCTAAAAAACAAAAGTTGAAGATGGCTTCTTCCCCTTCTCTCCCTCCTCCTCCTCCTCCTTCTTTTTCTTCTTCTTCCTCTTCCTCCTCCTCCTCCTCTACCCACCTCCGCTCCACTCCTCCTCCCCCACCTCCTCCTCTTCCTCCTCCTTCTGGAGGAGAGTCTGTCTTGAATCAAAAATGGGTTGGCCGGGCCAGTGGCTCACGCCTGTAATCCCAGCACTTTGGGAGGCCGAGGCAGGTGGAACACTTGAGGTCAGGAGTTCGAGACCAGCCTGGCCAACATGGTGAAACACTGTCTCTACTAAAAATACAAAAATTAGCCAGGCATGGTGGCAGGCGCCTGTAATCCCAACTACTCGGGAGGCTGAGGTGGGAGAATGGCTTGAATTCAGGAGGCAGAGGTTGCAGTGAGCCAAGATCCCACCACCACACTCCAGCCTGGGCAACACAGCAAGACTCCGTCAAAAAAAAAAAAGAGTTAACTGAATTACAACAGGAAACGTCTCCAGTACAGCCCAACTTGCTCCAGGTCCCAACAGGTGAAGCGAGCATCTCATCCCTGATTCCTTCAACTCTGGATTTAACAGGTAGCTACCCTAAGGTGCCCTGGCAAGGTGATCTGGACCTTGGGATTTCTGCTTTCAGGATTGCCTAAAGAAGAATTAACAGTTGCCAAAGGAAAAGCAGTAATCAGGAACCCTGTCTCTAAATGTAGCTAATTTCTATTTAATTGGCGAGTAACTACATTTAAAATAAACACGAGTTGGTAATCAAAAACAGGAGGTTAAAGGATAGGCAATTGTAGAAGCCAGAGAGAATTACTAGGGCAAAACAAAGCTGAGGGAAAGTGGAGAGACATGCTGCTTCAGAGAAAACATGGTCAGGAGAAGAGGAACTGTCGCTGCTGTGGGCCTCACAGATCTCATAAAGATTTATATCAGGTTTTATTTGTGTTTGTTAGTCATCAACGAAACTGATTTTAATCACCAACTGGTCTTTAATTATGAAGCATTCATTCCTTTATTACATAAAAATTAAAAACACATGTAAGCGGCACGTTTAAAACTATCAAACGGGTTGAGTTTGGCACATCCTTGTGCAACCCCAGAGAAAGAGGCAGAGATTGGACAGGTTTCTAGAAAACCCTTCAGCTCCCCAGGCATTTGCTGAACCCCTGGCTGCTGGCAGTATGGGCTTTCAGGCAACCGCGGCGACGGCTCCCCTCCAGGGGAAGAATGTGGAATCCGCAGAGCTGGGTTGAGGCACATCCGCTGCCAAACTGTCTCCAGCATTTGTAATCCCTGCTTTTCGGCACCACCCAAGATGTACTAATGCGCCTTGTGAAGACTCACTCCCGTGGCCTCTGGGGTTCGGCATTGAAAGAGAGGGTGGGAGAGGAAAGGAAAGAGAAGGGGAAAGGGTAAGAATGGCTTGAGTGAGATCCCTAAGCTGTGAGCAAGTTCTTCAAATTGAGTTTTCCTTTGAGGCAGACATTTTCCAGTTAAACTTTAAACTCAAAAGCTTGTCCTATTTATCTCCAAAATGCAGGCTATGTGTCTCCCTCCTAATTAGCATGAAATTATTTCTTGTTTTTCCTTCATTAGAAATTAGGATTTATTTTTTTAAAGATAAAATTTGTATTCCTGCTTAATTTTTAGACTCATTTGGAAGCAGTGCATTTTTATCAGAGGGACTGAAAAGCCTTTCGAGAATCAGTCAAGAAAAAGGAATGCGCATGAGAGTCATGGTGAGTAGCACTTCTCATCAAACTAGCTGCCCAGGGGTGTTAAAGTGCTTTCTAAAAAGGGAACTAACAGGGCTGCTCACCATTTACTGTTTTCTAAGAGCCTAGCTAAATTAATCATAGCACACACTAGCCCCGTAAGGTAAAATGATTCCTGGTTGTTTTGAAAGCAATCAGCGATCCACAAAGAGGGAGGTAATGTCTCCCAGAACCAAGATTAAAACTCCGACGTTGAGGGAATCTCCACTCCCTTCCTGTCATCAAAGGCCAGCTTGTTTGTATCCAAGCAGGGTCCTGGGTGAGCCAAGCTCTGTTAAAGTGGCCACAGGAATGAGAGGCCACCACACAAGTGAGGATGCTGGGGACAGTCCATCTTCTGGGGCTGTGTGAATGCAAGCTTAGTGGTGGGGGCTGTCACATTTTAAGTGGACAGGTGTGAGTCCCAGGCCTCCTGCTCGGAGACTCAAACCCAGCTGAGGCTTGCCCAGGAGGGTCTGGCTTCATCCTGGGCCACCCACACACTGGCAGGCCTGTGCACATGGAGGCCAGTTCCCTTCCTGCATTAGCCATGCATGGATTCCTACTCACATCTGTACAGCCAGAGCAAAAGCCTGTAATTTCCATAGAATCCAGTTCTTTGAGTCAGAACTCCAGATAAGTGTTTGTTTTATTTTTCTTTACAGGTCACATCATGTGATTGTAGGGAAAGCCTAGGCTATCATGGAGGGAAGAGATTGGATAAATTATTTGAAAAGCAAGCCTGTGAATTGCTGTGGAGGAACAATAGCCTGTCTCTTATCTGGAGCCTTTCCAAGGAAAAGCAAAGGGGACCCTAGAAGGCTTCCTGGGAGACAGTTTAATTCTGAAAACAAAGCAGTACTTCACCTCTTGTGTGTTGGGTAGAGCTGTAAAACAGAACACAGTCAAAATAGTCATTAGGGCCACATCAATGTCTGCCCAAAGTCAGGCGAGCATTCCCAGGAAGGTGGGGGGCTGTGGCAGTTGCACACATCAACCTCCTTTCTCCATTGTCACACAGCAGAAGAGCGTGTTCCATTCTACTAAAGTTGGGGCGGGGGGAGTTGAATAATTTATTGACTGAAAACTGGGGGCCTGAGTTAGATGGTAAAAAAGTTTAGAGTGCTGTTTTTTGTTTTTTAAGTTATGTTTGTTTTATATATTGAAGTGCTTAAAATGTATTTTAAAAATTCAAAACATCCCAGAAATTCAGCAACTTGAGGAGACAATAGTGACGAACATTTTATGGCAACATTTGGACACTTTAAAGATTATTTCAGGAACTTTAATGCTGATAAATGAGAGAAGGGACAACTTTTCCTAACTATAACATTTCGGCACCTGAGTACAGGGATCAAAACAAGAGCAAGCATTTCAAATTCATATTGTGAAGCACCTACAAAAAGATTATTCTGTTAGCCTTCATAATGTGGAGAGTTCATCTTTTCATCTTATCAAATAAAAATATACCCAAATTCTTGAACAGGCATTCAGTTAGGAAAAGAGGGTGGGGTGATGAAATGTGTTCTCATTCAGCAAACACTTTGCAGATATTTCTAGTCAAAGATCCCTGTGGTCTAGGCTAGTGAGAGAAAAACGTGCCCTCTGCCCAGTGACAGCGGCTGCACGGGGATCAGCTTTCACCAATGCAGGCAGGGGAACAAAGGGCAGGCTTCATCTGCCTGCATCCCACAGGCCCTTGCGCAGGGGAGTTCCATTTCAGTGCCCATCACATGACCTCTCAGGCCAAAACGGTTTTTAATAATTCTGATTTTGAATATCAAATGGAAGTGAAAAGTACATTTAGGAAGGAAGGGCTCTATCCTTATTGAAGAACATGCTCTATGCAAACAGGTTGGACAGGCACTAGCTCTTGTAGAGCTATGGTTCTCAGCTTTGGCAACACACTGGATCACCTCCTCTAAAAGGTACTGATGCCTGCTTTCCTCCCTCTTCTGCCCCTAAAGAAAGTAGAATTTAATTTTAAGCTCTAGGGTGTGGCCTGGGCATCAGGACTTTTTTTTTTTTTTTGACAGAGTCTCACTGTGTCACCTAGGCTAGAGTGCAGTGTGCAGTCTTGGCTCACTGCAGCCTCAATCTCCCAGATTCAAGAGATCCTCCTGCCTCAGCCCCCTAAGTAACTAGGATTACAGGCACGCACCACCACACCAGGCTAATTTTTGTATTTTTTGTGGAGACGGTCTTTCACTGTGTTGCCCAAGCTGGTCTTGAACTCCTGAGCTCAGGTGATCCACCTGCCTCAGCCTCCCAAAGTGCTGGGATTACAGGCATAAGCCACAGCCCCTGGCCGGCATCAGGATTTTTAAAAGCTCCCAAGTGCAGTCAAGGTTGAGAACAGCTGCTATAGTGTGACTTAATACAGCATTCAAAGCCTCTCATAATCTAGCCTCAGCCTAATTTTTCCTTCCAGCACCCCATCTCAGCCTGTACATAAGCCACAGAGACATTCTCACTGTTCTCTGAATGTACTTGGCTCATTCATATTTCCAGGCTTTCTTGCACACACATTGTCTGACTCTGGGCACCTAAGGAAAGCTCAGCTCCAATGTCCTCTCCTCTTCCGTGAAACCTTTCCTGTCAAGCCCACCTTCACTACTAAGTCACTCCTTGCTCCTAGATCAGATGGAAGAATGCTTTGGCATATCTCTACTGGAGCCCTTCTCACTTTACATTAAAGATAACTGTATATAGGTTAGCCCACTCCTCCTCCCTAATAGCATGTGGACCCTTTGTAGTTTCAGCAGTAAGCACAGGGCTTGGTTTCTATGAATACTTATTGAGTGAATGGATGAATGAATGCCAATCTTGTACATTGTTGATGTTCACCACATTGAACCCAGTTCTCAAACCAGGATCACTTGGGAGATTCTGAGTCAATAATTTGAAGGTCTGTATCATTCCTACTCAAAGTGTGGTCCATAAGCCAGCAGTGGCTATATTATCTGGGAGCTTGTTGCAAATGCAGAATATGTATTTTAACAAGATCCCCAGGCAATTCATATGCACATTACACTTTGAGCTATATTTTTAACAAGCTCCCAGGTGATTCCTTTGTAGCCCGGCTGCTGACCTGCATTTCGTAACCACTGTTCTAGACCTTCATTTGCTGAATGGAGTGGTCCCTGTGTGATTGCCTACAGGTTTCTTCTAGTCTCCCATTTTTCTTCCTAGTTAACAAAGCCCAAATTTTGTTTGGAAGGGTGATCAGCCCTTCACCCATCAGGCCTTTGCCTCAGGGAAGCTTGACCCCACCTTTAGACCCCATGTTGGGCCTGAGTAGTCCAAAGGCATATCCCATTCCCCTGGCCAGGGATTAGTTTAGGGATAGACATGTGACCAAATTCAGCTCAATAAAATGTGAGTCTGCAGGGGCAATCTAGAAAAAGTGTCCTCTTCCCTAAGAGAAAGCCACAGGAGGGTAAAAAAATGTCTCAGAACATTGTCCTGCCTAAACATGATGCCTCGGACATTCTGCTTCTGTCTTGCTACCTGCAGCACAAGGAAATCCAACACTGAGGGGTCACAGCAGAGGGACGGAAAGCACCTGGATCTTACAACATTGTTGAGCTCTTTTGTCTCTTGACTTCTAGTTATGAGATGTAATTTTCTTACTGTTAAAGTCATTTCTGTTCCTTGCAACCAAAAGCATTCATTGATACACTGAATATAGTACAATATTTATTCAATCAATAAATGCCTGGCAAATTACCCAAGTATGAGTAATTGTAGTTTGTCTCACAGCTATTCTTTCAAGTAAAAGTGATGCTCCATGACAAAAACGGCTAGTTTAGCTTGTAACACAAACAACTGCACAAGTGCTTTTCCTTCAGACAAGTATTGTACTTTCATATGTAACAGATGTATGTGCTTTATGCATGTTCCCATTTCATAACACAGAGTATTAGAAACATGTATACTTCAGGGTTGAGATCTCATAAAATGAGTAGTTTTCACAGCTTCATTGAGGACACTCTTAAATGAAACTGGCAGGTTTTTTTTTTTGAGTACTAGGAAATGGGTGGCAGTAAAGAATACAGTAACTATTAATATAGTGTGGTGCTACTGCCTTGAATTGTGCTAAGGCATCGGCAGTTTTCGTCATCATTGCTTTGACATCATCAGTGCAGGTGTCAATACAGTGAAAAAGGTAAATGGCATCTTGGTGTGATTATGGAAATAGATTGATCTAATGGACCGCCTGAAGTAGGCTTGGCCTCCCCAGGGATCTTAGAGAACTGCTATAGTAGGTGATTACTTGGGAAACAAAATCTCTTAGGAGAAGTTATGGATACAAAATGGTTATTGTTGAGGCCTGGAAGAGACTGAATTATGTGCCATATCATGGTTCTGACTCCTTTATTTGGGTCAATGTCACTATTGCCTCAGTGACTGCCAGCACATGGGGCTGGTAACAGAGGAGTCCTAGGAGTATCCAGGTGCTGAGGTGCTTGTGAGGCCTTAGGCTGGAGGGCACAGCAAATGGGCTCACCCAGTGCTACCAGTTACAGACACATTCACAAGACTGTGAATCCACAACTCAGTTCTTTATTTCCCTCTTCAGCCTGTTAGGTAATTTATCATGTACTCAGCTTAGAAACACACTATTTAGTGTAGTCTGATTTCTGTTTATAATTCTTAAAATACTCTTATTAGTGAAGTCTTCTAAGTTCAGCCTTTTCTTGAGCTAAAATTTCTCCGATGCTGAATAACTATTAAATAATGAATGTGTTGTTTCACTCGGAGGGGCAACAAGATTCCCTCAAGCAGCACCTACCCCCACTGCTTGCCAGAAACAGGCATTTTGGCAACACCACAAAGCACCAACTTTCGAGGTCTCACTGAGCCAGTCCTTGTTTCCAGGAAAGAAAACCCATGTTCTTGAGCCAGAACGAATGCTCTAAAGGCTGAGATTCTCTTTTCTCTTGCTAGAGAGGGAAGAATGACAATGGTTTGCTTGGATTCCTATAGTGGGAAAGCCATCTAGAAATTCTAGCCAGGCAGATATCTCTCACATGGAGATACTGTCCCTTGACTCATGAATGCACTGTGGAATTTGCCCTGGTGCCTTCTGAAGGGTTAAAGAAAAGGATCCTATTCCTTACTAGCAGTGATGCTGAGGCCTGAATCAAATTAGGGAAAAGGCCAGTCATGCTGTTGCCTGCTATATTTACTGAGATAATTTCTTAAAGCACAGAAGCAAGACAGACAATCCAAAAAATCGACATGAACTTGTTCTGCAGAGTAAAGATAGTTTCTGTCTTACTGCATTGCTATGAAAAAAAAAAAATTTTAGATCTGAATGTGGCAAGGAAACAAGCTCCCTAGATCGTCAGAGAAATGACTGAGTTTTAGCAAGTTTTTCCTAATTTTTGACCTAAAATGTTCTTTCCTTCAGTGCCTCCCTGGAGTTTTTGTTTTGTTTTATTTTTGTTTTCTAACACAAAAAAACACCTGCATCACACATTCTTACCCTCACTTTTGTGCTCTGTGTTGGAAACACAGGAGTTGTAATGATGTCTTTGGCTCTGGGCCTCTAAATCTTCATAGTGAATTCATCAAACTCTACACCTCAGGACCAGTCCAAAGCTTGGAAGGGAAAGAGGAGGAAGCAGGGGTTATAAACATACGCCAGGCAATTTTTTTCCCCGTATCTAGGTCATTTTACTTTTCTCTGTGTAAAATGCCTGGCCTTGGTGTTTTTGAGTGTGCATGTAAACTCAGACTTGGCAGTGGGGAACATGCAGTCAAACTTCTACAATATTCCTGGTGATTGGCCTTTTATATCCCTATCCTTGCTACTCCTTTTACCTTGACATTGAACATTTGCTCAGTACTTTAGCTCTTATTATTGTGTTGGTAGAACACCTTTTTCCCCTTAAGCACAGTTCTAGTACATTATTTCTGTGTTGTATTAGAAAAAGGGATGGAGCAATAAGTTGGGAGATTTTGCATCCTAGTTCTGCCATTAAATGGCCATAGATACTGGAAAAGTCATGTTCCTGTTCTGGGCTTCATCTGTAAAATGGGGATTGGAGAGAGGGCTAAATTTCCAGTGGTCCATAGATCTGGTGACGTGGTTTAGATATTTGTCTCCTCCAAATCTCGTGTTGCAATGTGATCCCCAGTGCTGAAGGTGGGGCCTAGTGGGAGGTGTTTGGATCATGGGGGCAGATTCCACATGAATGGCTTGGTGTCATGCCAACAGTAACGAGTGAGTTCTTGATCTATGATCTATTAGTTCACGTGAGAGCTGGTTGTTAAAAGAGCCCAGCACCTCTCCCAACTCTCCCTTGCTTTCCTCTCTCGCGTGTGATACACTGGCTCCCCTTTTGCCTTCTGCTATGAATATAAGCTTCCTGAGGCCGTCACCAGAAGCAAATGCTGGCTGTATGTTTCTTATACAGCCTGCAGAACTCTGAGCCCAATAAGCTTCTTTTCTTAATAAATTATCCAGTCTCAGGTATTCCTTTATAGCAATGCAAAATGGACTAACACAACTAACATTTTTAGCAAAGTCTTCTTTCCACCACTTCCTTCCACTGGGCATTTTAAGACAGCAGTGCTGAGATAGGCTTTTGGGAACCAAAACCTAGAGTTGATGGGTTCTAGGTCCTTGTCAAGCCTAATGTTAGTTTTTTTCTCTCTTTCTCCAAATGTCAGGTTTTCTATCACCCCACCACTTCAATAGTTTGCACTTAATTTACCGAAGCTTCTGTGCTTTCTAGGTGGTTCACATGGCTTCACTCCCCCTAACTCTCCGTGCTATATTCTAAACCTTTCACAGTCTAAAAGACATGGGCATTTGGTAATTTTTAAAGTACCTTCTTCATTTAAAAGAATGAAATGGAGTCTCAGAGAAGTCAGCTGATGGCAAGCTCTCACAAGTTGGGTCAAAGGACAGCAAGTAGGTGAGGCGAAGCCCTGAATTCCTCAAGTAGCACATCCTAGTGGCCGCATGAAGAGGCTTCTGGTGAAAGGGAAGAAAAGAGTGCTGCCAGTTTCTAGGGAAGCAGACGGGCATATGAGTGCTGCCCAGAGCTGCCACACACAGGGCCGCTGAGGGCCAACTTAAGTTCCTACTCCTGTGACCAAGAATGACAAGCTCCCACCTACATTGCTGGCCTACATGTTTGAGACATTCAAGCACTCAGGGAATACAAACATTTACTCTCTGGATGTGCGATGTTAGTGCTGCCTGTGACCAAAGGATGAACTAAAGAAAATAAAATTAAAAAGAAACAGTGAGAGAAGCCAGTTGGCTACCTGTAGAAAAAGAGGGGAATCTTGGTGGTTCTAAGGGAAACAAAGATAACAAACTAGGAAAATAATTCAAGAACACACAGACCAAGTAGTAATATACATGAAAATACAGCATGAAAGAAGATCCCTTCATATAAAAGTTAAACATTGAGAAGAGGATTTTATGTGGTGACTTAAAACTATTACCCCCTTCTATGTTTTCTCCAAGAGGCTAGTAAGGACTCATTTAAAACAAGCATTAGAAATAAGATTTGCCAATAAGATAATTGAAACAATATATAGAAATTGAGACAAAATTCTGGGCACATCTTACCTATATATTTTGTTAAGCCACTATAAAAAAATAGTGACATTTCCAGTTAATATGCTTATCATTCTAAACCTACCATCAGATAACTCAAAATTATAAGGAGTTGGCATCAGGAACTAAAGGAAAAT
Organism: Homo sapiens; assembly: GCF_000001405.40. Taxonomy (NCBI): domain Eukaryota; kingdom Metazoa; phylum Chordata; class Mammalia; order Primates; family Hominidae; genus Homo; species Homo sapiens. The sequence continues at coordinate 156,743,360 of NC_000003.12, read as the reverse complement.
AGCCTATCAGAAAGTCAACAGTGGCAGAACTGCTTAAATATATGGGGCAGCATGATGACTTAAAATCTTAGGTCAATTAATCTGTAATAACCTTGGAGAAACTTTCCTAAATTTTTGTGCCTCAATGTTCTCATAAATACAATGGAACAATACTGTTTCATGGCTCTGTTATGAGGAAATGAATAGCCTAAATTGCCACCACAGTTCTAATTAAAATGTTACCTTGAGTGCAGTGAGCAAAACCTCATCTTTAAGAACCAATAGAAGCTAGGTGTGGTGGCATACATCTGTGGTCCCAGCTACTTGGGAGGCTGAGGTGGGAGGATTGCTTGAGCCCAGGAATTTGAGGCTGCAGTGAGCTATAATCGCGCCACTGCACTCCAGCCTGGGCACAGAGTGAGTCCCTGTCAATAAATAAATAAATAGGAAAAGGAAAAAAAAGTCTTCTGAAAGTTGGCCAAACCACAAGGAAAAAGCAATTCAGTTGAGGGAATAGAGGAAAGGCTGACCCAGCTTTCAGCTTCTATATCTTCCCTTTAATACAGAGACAAGGCAATCATATTTTATAATTTTTATTATGCACTCATTTTGGATGTTTTCCTTATGAATTATAAGTAAGTTTCAGAATTCAGTGAGTTTAAAGAACACATTTCCTTCATAGGCTATGTTGCTTATGGTAATCTTTCACCTGTCATAGGAATGTTTGGCCTATTTAAAGGTTGCAGGTGTGTGAGAACAGATGGTATTGAGAATGGGGACACATTCAGGCTACAAAAAGTCTGCCAAAAGCCAATTTGAGGTTAATGCTTTAAGAGCAATGGTGCTCTTTTCTTTGTCTTTCTCCTCTGTACATGGGGAGCAGGTACTCTACCAGAACCATGTCCTGGAGATTTAATTTGTGTTTTTTTTTCTTTTCTGTTCTTTAGTGAGAGAAGCACAAGATACTACTACCACCTTAGAATCAATGCAGCAAGCTTCCCTGAGAACAGTGGGTATGCAGTGAGTTCTCCCTACTATCCTGGGTCTAAAAAGGAAAGGAAGAAGAGAGAGAGAGAAAAAAAAAAAAAAGAAAGAGGAGCTGTTTTCCTCTTGGGTAGATGGGAACAGGGTTTGCATATCTGGGACAGGACAGTGGTTTAGGTCAAGGGGAGGCAGCAGATGCTGGAACCTGGCCTGAGCTACCACTCCCATTAGCCTCCACAGGCATCTGTGCACAAAGATTGATTGTGCAGGTCACTAAGAATGGCAGTAGCTTGGCATTTGGCCTAATAATGTGCAAGGGCCAGATACGGAGTGTGACAATGGAGAATAATCCATTCCCAAGAATCACTGTGAACTACCAGCTGTGCCAGTCCTCCATGGCAGCGGGCCCAGCAGAGCACCCAGCCTCTTGCTTTGCCCCCTAGACCCCACCTTCAAGGTTTGCTTCACCAGGGAAACTCAACTGCCCCTGGTCTGTGATCCCAAGGGGTCAGGCCACTTTAGGCTGGAACTTCCTCCACTGCCCACCTGTGAGTCAACAAAAGAAGCCAAGAGCTTTACCCTCAGACGTAGGCCAGCATGCTGAAAGCCCGTCTTCCTGCCCTAGTGTGTCTGGAATTGGTGGGTTCTTGGTCTCACTGACTTTAACAATGAAGCCGCGGACCCTCGCGGTGAGTGTTACAGCTCTTAAGGTGGTGCGTCTGGAGCTTGTTCCTTCTGATGTTCAGATGTGTTCGGAGTTTCTTCCTTCTGGTGGGTTCGTGGTCTCGCTGGCTCAGGAGTGAAGCTGCAGACCTTTGCGGGGAGTGTTACAGCTCTTAAGGCAGTGCGTCTGGAGTTTTTCATTCCTCCCGGTGGGCTCGTGGTCGCGCTGGCTTCAGAAGTGAAGCTACAGACCTTCGTGGTGAGTGTTACAGCTCATAAAAGCAGTGTGGACCCAAAGCGTGAGCAGTAGCAAGATTTATTGCAAAGAGCGAAAGAACAAAACTTCCACAATGTGGAAGGGAACCCCAGCGGGTTGCCACTGCGGGCTGGGGCAGCCTGGTTTTATTCTTATCTGGCCCCACCCACATCCTGCTGATTGGTAGAGCCCAGTGGTCTGTTTTGACAGGGTGCTGATTGGTGTGTTTACAATCCCTGAGCTAGACACAAAGGTTCTCCAAGGCCCCACCAGAGTAGCTAGATACAGAGTGTAGATTGGCACATTCACAAACCCTGAGCTAGACACAGGGTGCTGATTGGTGTTTTTACAAACCTGGAGCTAGATACAGAGTGCCGATTGGTGTATTTACAATCCCTGAGCTAGACATAAAGGTCCTCCATGTCCCCACCAGACTCAGGAGCCCAGCTGGCTTCACCCAGTGGATCCCGCACAGGGGATGCAGGTGGAGCTGCCTGCTAGTCCCGCACCGTGCACCTGCACTCCTCAGCCCTTGGGTGGTCGATGGGACTGGGTGCCATGGAGCAGGGGGTGGCACTCGTCGGGGAGGCTCGGGCCGCACAGGAGCCCACGGAGGGTATGGGAGGCTCAGGCATGGCGGCTGCAGGTCCCGAGCCCTGCCCCACGGGAAGGCAGCTAAGGACAGGCGAGGAATTGAGCGCAGCGCCGGTGGGCTGGCACTGCTGGGGGACCCAGTACACCCTCTGCAGCCGCTGGCCCAGGTGCTAAGCCCCTCATTGCCCGGGGCCGGTAGGGCCAGCCGGCTGTTCCAAGTGCGGGGTCCGCCAAGCCGACGCCCACCCGGAACTCCAGCTGGCGCGCAAGCGCGGCGCGCAGCCCCGGTTCCCGCTCGCGCCTCTCCCTCCACACCTCCCTGCAAGCTGAGGGAGCCGGCTCCGGCCTTGGCCAGCCCAGAAAGGGGCTCCCACAGTGCAGCCGTGGGCTGAAGGGCTCCTCAAGTGCCGCCAAAGTGGGAGCCCAGGCAGAGGAGGCACCGAGAGCGAGCGAGGGCTGTGAGGACTGCCAGCACGCTGTCACCTCTCACTAGCAAGGCAGCAGGGCAGTCATTGCCCAATGTGAGGACCCCAGAACAGGGGTGATACTGCCTGAGAATCCAGGGAGCTACTCCTGGTGCTGGGGTTTCTGTCCAGCTTCTGATCTTCAGACATGCCCCACCAAAGCCGGCTTCTGCCTATAGCCCTTCTGCCAGAAGCTCACACAAGACCATAAGCAGCTTACCAAGATCCACACTTCCTGCCCAAGACAATAAGTATGGTTGGTGGAATGAGGTTGTCTGCTTCTTTGGACCTGGTATCTAGGGTCCTGCTGAAAAGAAGAGGTGCTAAATGCCTCACATTCAAAAGAGATCTCAGATACCAGGGTCAGATACTGTTTCCCTAGGCAGCTGATTAGGCTTCCACAGTCAACCCCGCTCCTATCCCTACCACCTCACTGCTCCTTCTGTATGGAGAAGAGCAGAAAGAAGTCATCTAGGTCAACAGCCTTGGACAAGGTTTATAGTAGGAAGAGACTTCCTATTCCCCACTGTCCACTCCTGCCCCAAGGCAAAAGAAATGGGGGAGGGGCTGCAAGAAGGGGAGTGCAGCACCTCATTCCCCAGCTGGACATCTGCTTCAGCTATGGACTTGCAGGTTTCCCCCTTTGCCTACCTGAGCAGGAGAAAGTGAACTGAAGAGAGAGGGCAGCTGAGGAGTGGTTTGCACCTGGAGAAAGTGTGAGTCTTGAACTCTCTTGTCAAGATCTACCCAAGAGGCCTGCCCACTGGGCATAGGGACCCAGAAACAATAGGCTGTGGGGTGTGCCACCAGAGCGTTGCTGAGAAGTGGCAGAAGACGTCCTTTCAAGCTGGATCTTCCACATCAGGGAATGGTGTGGTCCCCTCTTTCCTACACCATCCCACTCCAACACCTGGAGGATTTTAAAACTGAATGAGGGAAGTAGGCCAGAGAGCATTCTGAATTAGATATGAGAAAGAGGTTTTAGAGTGAATCGACCTCAGTTTAGTGTTTGAAAGTGACAAGAGTAAAGGAATCTATCTACAATGTGCTCAGGGAAAAGACTTTTGCTTTTTATTTGTTAGGAGCAAATCAAATTGGAAGATAGTGATTGGAAATAGTAAAGCCATTTTGTTTAGGCTCTGCTGAGTTGGGACTGCCCAGTAAACAATTCCAGAATCATAAACAGCGAGGGGCCTATGGAAGTGTGGATTACGTATGCTTCCACATCCTTTCCCACCCTGAGATTCTAGGTTTGATTGTAGCTATAGCAGAGTATCCATTTGAAAGAGAGTCACACCCGTCACTGGGCTTCAGTTGTGTGTGGACAAGTCTGGAGGATGGTGGGATTAGTCAGCCCTGGGCTCCTATCTGAGTCCTGCAAAGAAGATGGGAGGAGGTACCGAAATAAGTGAAAGAGCCACTTTTATTAAAATTGGATAAAACATTGGTGTTAAAGCATTGCTCTCAAGTCACATTTATCTTATTGCAAACTCCGGTCAAGAGGAAGTTTTTTACTTGCCAACCACTGCATCTAAAGCTGCGCTGTTTAATGCAGAAGCCACTAGTCACATGTGGCTACCTAAATATCATTGAAAATTCAATTCTTATATTACACTAGTCACATTTCAAATGCTTAGTAATCACATGTGCCTAGTGGCTACTGTATTGAATCTGTATATTGAAAGACGCAGAATATTTCCATCTTCACAAAAAATTCTGTTAAGCAGCTCTGTGTGAAAGAAAATGCTATTAGTTCCAATGATTAAAGAGATCATGACCAAGACGGACTGCCAAGATATCATTTAGAATGTACAAAATTTCACATTCCAAACTTCATGGGCAAGTCAAAGTTTAAAGTGATAGAACAGAAAGAGGAAGAGAAGAAGCCCCATTACTGCAGGGGACACAGTGAGCCCTAGGCTCACAAAAGTCCATGAGGCCTGAACTCTGCTTTGGAAACTTGAGAGCTGCTATGGAGGAGGCTTTGGAGCCAGAGGATAGTCCAGTCACTGGGTACAGATCCCTGCGGAAGCGATGGCAGTGCCCAGACAGAGGATGGTGATCCTCAGAGAAGGTGATGGCACATGGTGGGAGGGATTTCACTGTGGCAGTCGCCTCCCTTCTGGGAACTCTCAGAAACGGAGTGAGACTTGGAAGGACAAAAGCCTGGGAAGTACACATTACGACAGAGTCTTGTTTTTCCCATCAGGGGTAGGGGATGAGAAGTAGCAGAAGTCTGTGTTATCTAATGCTGTGTAACAAATCCCTCCAAAATATAGTGACCTAAAACAACAACAACTACTTATTATCTCTCACAGTGGTGGGTTAAGAATTTGGACTCTAATTGGTAGGCGGGGGTTCTAGTTCAGGATCTCTCATGAGGATACGGTCACGACTGCAAGGTTGTTTGCAAAGGTTGACTGGGGCTGAAGGATCCGCTTCCAATGTGGCTCACTGATATGGCTGGCTAACTGATATTGGCTATTAGTAGGAGGTCTTAATTTCTTCAACATGAACTTCTTCACATGGTGTGTGTGTGTGTGTGTGTGTGTGTGTGTGTGTGTGTGTGTGTTCTTCCAGTACTGTGGCTAACTTCCCCCAGGATGAGCAATTCAAATAGTCAAGGGAGAAGTTGCAGTGCATTTTTTTTTAACCTACATTTGGAAGTCACACAGTATTACTTCTGCTGTCTTCAATTGTAACACAGCCCAGCCATAAGTCAGTGTGGGAGGGGACTACTCAGGCATTTGAATGGTAGTAAGCAAAGTTCATTTGGGGGCCATCTTGGAGGCTGGCTACCATGAGGACACACAGAGATAAGAGCTGTAAATTTTCAGACTGTATTTTTTTCATCTTAAATGTACTATAAGAACGCCTTTTAAAAAAATTTATTATACTTTAAGTTCTGGGATACGTGTGCAGAACTTGCAGGTTTGTTACGTAGGTATACATGTGCCATGGTGGTTTGCTGCACCCATTAACCCGTCATATACATTAGGTATTTCTCCTAATGCTATCCTTCCCCTAGCCCCCCAACCCCCAACAGGCCCCGGTGTGTGATGTTTCCCTCCCTGTGTCCATGTGTTCTCATTGTTCAACTCCCACTTATGAGTGAGAACGTGGTGTTTGGTTTTCTGTTCCTGTGTTAGTTTGCTGAGAATGATGGTTTCCATCTTCATCCATGTCCCTGCAAAGGACATGAACTCATCCTTTTTTATGGCTGCATAGTATTCCATGGTGTATATGTGCCACATTTTCTTTATCCAGTCTATCATTGATGGGCATTTTGGTTGGTTCCAAGTCTTTGCTATTGTGAGCAGTGCCACAATAAACATATGTGTGCATGTGTCTTTATAGTAGAATAATTATAATCCTTTGGGTATATACCCAGTAATGGGATTGCTGGGTCAAATGGTATTTCTGGTTCTAGATCCTTGGGGAATCGCCACACTGTCTTCCACAATGGTTGAATTAATTTACACTCCCACCAACAGTGTAAAAGCATTCCTATTTCTCCACATCTTCTCCAGCATCTGTTGTTTCCTGACTTTTTAATGATCGCCATTCTAACTGGCGTGAGATGGTATCTCATTGTGGTTTTGATGTGCATTCTATCGAGCAGTGACGATGGGCTTTTTTGTTGTTGTTGTTGGCTGCATAAATGTCTTCTTTTGAGAAGTGTTCAGACTGTATTATTAGAAATCTCTCAGTTGCAAGTGACCAAAACCCAACTCAAACTAGCTCAAAAAAAAAAATCAAAAGAGAACTTGCATATATAATTGAAAAGTGTTGATATTGCTGGATAAAAGGGCTTACATGGGGTTCTGTTTGATGCTCAGATCAGCAAGATGGCCACAAGCAGCTTTAGGCTTGCATCTCCAGTTTAAAAGGAGACTTTTCTGTTAGCACCAATAAAATCCCAGTAAGCTTTCACTGGTTAGAATATTTATATCTGAAACAATCACTGTGAGCCCTTTAAGATAGGTTATTCTGATTGGCCAGGCTTCAGTCACTTACCCACTTCTGGACTGGAGTGCTGTTAGCAAAAGAAGAGTGAATGGTGCTAAGCTAGCATAATCAACCACAGTTGACTGCAAAAGCACATCTGTATCTATCTGGCTTCATAATGGACACTTACATGATATTACACTGACCCCCTTATGATGAATGCAGCCAATGCCAAACTTCCAACCCAGAAACATATCATTATTTTCCATTACCCTTCTTACAGGGTCAGAGGTAAATTTATTCCTCTGTGAGATTTGTTTTTGCACAGTTAAGACTAGAGATTTCTCCTGGCTTGATATTCATCTAGTATCTCTATGTCTGGATGGTCCTCCAAGGAGCCATGGCTTTGTTTTATATTGATGACATCACTTCCAGTGTCCTCTAGCATGTCTCTGCCAGAAGGTGAAAACACAAACTTCAAACAAGATCTCAAAGATATGTGATTAAAACTACTTTATTAAAGAGAAATATGGCCTTGTATATGCAGGGAGTAATAAGTACAGTAATAGCTCATGGATAACTAGACCATGGATAA